>NT_167247.2:0-129556 GCF_000001405.40 Homo sapiens | reverse complement strand
GGCCGTCCGAGAGGGTGACCTGCAGCGGGAGATCCCAGGCCCAGCACGGGACTTTCGATATAACATTCAGTTTTCCTTCTCTCAGCGCAGTCAGGAAACAATATCCAGTATAGCGAATTCAAAATTAAGTTCGACAAAATATGCTTCTTGGCACGACCGATAATAGTAACAGGTCATAGAAATATTTTGGCCCACGTTGAGCGTTGGGGGGTGTAGCTCAGTGGTAGAGCGCGTGCTTAGCATGCACGAGGCCCCGGGTTCAATCCCCGGCACCTCCAGCTTCATTTTTCTCCCGCCTTTTCTCCTAGATGTGCCTTGTTTGCAAAATCATGTCTATCATGTCCACGACTCGCCTCAATTTTTTTTCTTTTGTTTTTGTGGCACTTTCATTCTCTCTCAATTCTTCAAATTCACATGGAAACCAAGGAAAACAAGCTCCGTTTTGCTTTCAATATTGATGCATTTCTGCTCTAAGGCTTTGACACCACCCTGGGTGGCTGTGTCAAGAGATGAAAGACAAAATGAAAGAGGCCGCGGAAGCACAGACTGGCAGAATTCCAAAACCCGAAAAACAAGCAAGGCACCAAATTAACAAGCCCAATCACATTGGTTACATTTCCCAGTATTATCGAAGATCAAGCAAGAAAGAAAAAGACAGAAAACAAATGCGAAACCACAGGTAATTTTTTACAATTTATTTTAGATCCTTTCTTTTTTGAGCTGTTCCTTGGTCAAGGGACAGACCCAGAAAATAGGAAAACTGTCCCACGGATTTCCCCACCACTCTCTTCCCATCGCAATCTCTTTTCTTTTCCCCCATCAGGTGTCCTCTTGTTCGTCCGATTTTAGACTTTGTAAGCTTTTTGTAGGCTTTTTTTTTTTTTTTTGGAGACAAGAGTCTCACTCTGTCTCCCAGGCTGGAGTGCAGAGTGCAATGGCACCATCTCGGTTCACGTGCAAGCTGTGCCTCCCAGATGCAAGTGATTCTCCTGCCTTAGCCTCCCGAGTAGCTGGAATTACAGGCATGATGCACCACCATGCCCGGCTAATTTTTTTTTTTTTAGTGGAAACGGGGGTTTCACCATGTTGGCCAGGCTGGTCTCGAACTCCTGAACTCAAGTGATCCACGATCCACCCGCCTCTGCCTCCTAAAGTGCCGGGATTCCAGGCGTGAGCCACCACGCCTGGCCTACTTTGTATGCATTTCTTTGACTCATTGTTATTGTTTCTGACTTTATTAGGGTAACTTTTATTAAAGCATAATGTAAGCTTTGGATCCAAATAGAAGTTCTTTATTGTGTTAAATAAATTGAAGCCTTCGTATCTGGCTGACTTGAAGCAGCACTTAGCTAGTTTTAAAAGATATGGAAGGCAATCAGAAAACAAAGATACATATCCCCACTCCCTTCTCTTCCCAATTCTAACCGCAGCTCACATTTTGAAGGGCCTCACACATGCATGTGTGAACATCTCAACATATTAGCGGTGGCAGTTATCTGTAAGGAGTCTGCAGCAACATTAATTCTTGCCTCCTCAGGAGAAGGAAAGAATTCGATTGAGGAGCATAATGCCGAAGGAGAGACCGAGGCAAGTCTTAGAGCAGGGGTGAAAAATTATTGAAAATATTTAGAGCACTAATGAAGGAAAGTACACTTGGAAGAGGGCCAAGCAGGCGACTTGAGAGACCAAGTGCACGGCTTGACCTCTAGACCTGGGGTCGTAAACGTTGGCATAGTTCCTAAATCTTGTGTTATTTCTCCCCACTCCTGAGATCTTATTGGGAAGTGACCGACCACCAGTTTCACGTGTTTTCTATCTGTTAAGAAACTGCCTTTCTCTGTCAGAGGAAGAATCAGTTTAAACTTTATAGATTTCTTTTAAAACGTATTTATTACAAGTCCCCAAGAGGGCTTTATTTTTGCTTTCACACATCCTGTTTTTCAGCTTCCTTGGCTCTTTTTGCCCATATGCCGAAGAGCCGAGCATTGCCGCCAAGCATTGGCACCGGCCATGCGGAGACTAGCGAAAGCTTTGCAATTCCTCTACTTCTCAGTGATGACTCGGGCTTTCTCCTTACATTCTTGATGGGCATGACCGGTCCTGTCAGCTGGGTGGCCAATTTCTGTTCTTCAGCAGAACTGTCTCCCTTCTTGGGGGCCGAGGGCTTTCTGGGGAAGAGGATGAGTTTGGAGCAATACTCATTCAGACGCTGCACATTGGCCTGCAGGGAATCGGTGGACTTGTTCTGCCGCCTCGGATCCACAGAGATGCCAGTGGTCCGGGTCACCTTCTTGTGAATGCCCGCCACCCTGAGCTCCAGGCTGAAGCCTCTGCCGGCGCGCACCTTGATGTGATAACGCACAGCAGGGCACAGCACAATGGGCCAGATGGGTCCCGACTCTCCGGGCGCGGGGCGATGCAGCGCCCTTTGGCTTGCCGGGCCTTGATTCTGCGGATCTTCTGGTTGAACCACGTGGCCACACGCTGCTGCCAGTCCTTGTGGAAGTGGGGCTTCAACATCATGCCATTCCTGCTGGGCGCCATGGCTGCCTACGGCCCTCCTACGAAGGAAACACTTTATAGATTTCTATAGCAGTGTTACATAGTAAGGTTTTATGGCGAGTTTTGTAGCATGGATCATACTACCTTAGGACTGATGGTAAAGTTTTAGTCTAAGGAAAGCTCTGAAAATTTGAAAATGTGTAACCACCCAATGAGTTCAGCTTGCCCACTGCCTAGACAGAACCATTTATCAAGACGGGCATGCAAAGCCGGCTGTGTGGGAGACCCGTTTTATTATTATTCAAATCAGTCTCCCCAAGTGGATTGCAGTTTTTAAGGATAATTTGGTGGGTAGGGGACCAGTGAGTTGGGAAAGTTGATTAGTCGGGTCGGAGATGAAATCAGAGGGAGTCGAAGCTGTCCTCTTGTGTTGGCTTAATTTCTGGATGGGGGCCACAAGACCAGATGAGCCAGTTTATCGTTATGGGTGGTGCTAGCTGATCCATAGAGTACAGGGGCTGCAAAATATCTCAAGAACTGATCTTCGGTTTTACAATAGTGATGTTATCCTGAGGAGCAATTGGGGGAGGTTTAGAATCTTGCAGCCTCCAGCTGCATGACTCCTAAACCATAATTTATAATCTTGTGGCTAATTTGTTAGTCCTGCGAAAGCAGTCTAGTCCCCAGGCAGGAAGCGGGTTTGTTTTGGAAAGGGCTGCTATTGTCTTTGTTTCAAAGCTAAACTATAAACTAAGTTCCTCCCAAAGTTAGGTCAGCCTACGACCAGGAATGAACAAGGACAGCTTGGAGGTTAGAAGCAAGATGGAATTGGTTAGGTTAGATCTCTCACTGTCTCAGTTGTAATTTTGCGATGGTGTTTTCAAATGTTGATTTAAAGAAGACCATAAATTTGTGTTGCTTTCTCAGATTTTGAGAATAAGGACAAAAAGTGTATGTTTTAATGGGAGAATCTTAAGAATTTCACTACTGAAGTGGATTTCTCTGTCCATTAACAGTGCTAAATGTTTTGTATTTCCCAGTTGGAAAAACAAAATCTGCAAGCTTTGAATGATACTTGTTATTAGGTTTTGGTAACAGCTGTTGTACTATTCCCATTTCAATGCTCAATAGCCACACGTGGCATGTCATACCTACCAGGTGGACAGCACAGATATAGAACATTTTCATCATTGTAAAAAGCCCTATTTGACAACACTAACTTAAAGTATTAATCTTTTAGAAGAGAAAGCTTCAGTCCAACCCAAATTACACAATTTTACTTTTGAAAATATTGTTGAAACAACGTTCAATTTTTTAAAATTTTGGAAAACTGAATGAAATCCATTTGTAAATGCGCAAATGGTACTGGAGGTGGAAAACTGAAGCCTTGCTATAGTTTTAGTTTTTTGGAGGGTTATGATCAACACAGAGAAGAAAAGATTCATCTACCCATAGAGCTTCTTGAGAAAAATTTTCTAACAATAATTTTGAAAATTTGTAGTGAATTTGTTCTTGCCATTATTTATGGGTGCTTTCATGTGCGAGGCACATCAAAGTTCTGGGGAATGACTTAGGCACAACCAAATGGCTATCTTGGGAAGACCAAAGTCCTTTGCTATATATGAGAGTTTTGAGATGGCGACTACCTTTCTGTATGGTAGATTCTTGTTTTTGAATATGCCCTCTGGGTTTTCAAAACAAATTGTTTTTACAATACCTATAGTAGTTATCTAGGGCATATTCTTTAGCTTCAAAAATTCTATCTTTAGAATGGGCTTCAATATTCATAACTGAGTTATTTTCCTCTAATAAATCATTAACATTTTCCCATGTTTTATTGTGGTGTTCATGGTAGTTTAAAATACCTTATAATAGCATATAATATGTATGAACAACCTGAAAATATATGTATGTGAACAACCTGAAGCCACATGTACTCTCAGTATACAGGTTAATTCTTAAACCTTCAACAAGATGTCATGCTCAAATTGGAACTACATTTGTGCTTCACACAAAGACCTTTCCGTCAATGACTGACTACATGTACGACCATGGTTTTATAAGACTATAATACCATATTTTTACTGTATCTTTCCTGTGTTTAAGTACACAAATACGTATCTGTGTGTTCCATTGCCCTACAGTATTCAATACAGTAACATGCTGTAGTGGTTTGTAGCCCAGCAGCAATGGACTACACCGTATAACCTAGGTGTGGAGTAGGCTATACCATCTAGGTTTGTGTTAAATACTCTCTAAAATGTTTGCACAGTGATGAAATGCCCTAATGACTAATTTTTCAGATCATATCCCTGAGGTTGATCTAGGCATGACTGTATTAGTCCAGTCATCTGAGTAGATGTTGGCAAAAGGATAGTTTCCGTTACAGAAAATTAAGATGGCATATCCAGTAGAAGAGCATACCTTGAATTTGTTTTATTTTTAATTTTTAAAAAAAGTTTTAGAGCAGTTTATAAGCAGTTTTTAAGTTTATAAGATCACATAAGTTCATTTACCATATTCTACCACCATAACTTGACGTAAGCCTGAATGAACATTTTATAAGCTCAGCCTTACTGTATACTAAGTTCAAGTTTACATCAAGTTACGGTGATAGTATATGGTAAGATGTTTTGCCCTGAAAGTCCTTATTTTAAAATATGTATAGTTAAACTGACACATAACAAAGCATGTGAGACAAAAGAAAAGAGGAGACAACCAGATGGATTCTAGTGAGTTTGAGCTGCCATCCTCTGACTTGCACGCAAGGGCAAAGATTCACTAATCCAACAAGTGCTTGCTAAAGATTTAGGGGAAATAACATTGCTTTTTTATTTCATTTTCCCCCAACAGTTCATTCCATTAATAGTGCTAGGAAGTTTTGACATGAGAATAGGAACACTTTTCTCGGGTTTTGAAGGGCCTTGTATAGTCATGCAAAGAAGAGCATCGTACAGTCATACAAAGTCTACGGTATGAGGGTGTAGCACAGATATAAGGTACTGGATTATATCTCTTTTTTTTTTTTTTTTTTTGAGATGGAGTTTCACTCTTGTTGCCCAGGCTGGAGTGCAATGTCGCGATCTCGGCTCACTGCAACCTCCGCCTCCCAGGTTCAAGCAATACTCCTGCCTCAGCCTCCCAAGTACCTGGGATTACAGGCATGCGCCACCATGCATGGCTAATTTTGTATTTTTAGTAGAGACGGGGTTTCTCCATGTTGGTCAGGCTTGTCTCAAACTCCCGACCTCAGGTGATCCGCCTGCCTCAGCCTACCAAGTGCTGGGATTACAGGCCTGAGCCACCGTGCCCGGCCATCTCTATTTTTTAAAAATATATTTGTGTGTAAATGTCTCAGTTATTTTAAAAACCTTGGTGCTATTTAATACTGTGGTTAACACTTTGGAAGAAAATGGCTAGGTTTGAGCCTGACCTTGTTGGTATAGGCTCACTCACACCTTCAGAATATGGGCATTGATGAAAGAAAAAATTCAGCTGAATTAAATTTAAAGGAGTTTAATTGAGCAATGAACGGTTTGCGAATCGGGCAGCCCCCAGAATCACAACAGATTCACAGAGACTCAGCGCAGTCACATGGTGGAAGAAGATTTATAGACCAAAAAAAAAAAAAAAAAAAAGGGAGGGCCGAGCGCAGTGGCCCACGCCTATAGTCCCAGCACTTTGGGAGGCCGAGGTGTGTGGCTCACGAGGTCAGGAGTTCAAGACAAGCCTGACCAACATGGTGAAACCCCGTCTCTACTAAAAATACAAAAAAATTAGCCGGCTGTGGTGGCATGCTCCTGTAATCCCAGCTACTCAGGAGGCTGAGCCAGGAGAATTGCTTGAACCCGGGAGGCAGAGGTTTCAGTGAGCTGAGATCGAGCCACTGCACTCCAGCCTGGGCAACAGAGCAAAACAGCAAAACTCCTTCTTAAAAAAAAAAAAAAAAGGAATGACATATGGAAATTGGAAGTGAGGTACAGAATGGCTGGATGGGTTACAGCTCAGTTTTTGCCTTATTTGAACACAATTTGAACACTCAGCAGTGTATGAATGGTTGAATTACAGCCACTGGGATTGGCCAAGACTCAGCTATTGTTATAGGCACATATTCCTAAGTTAGGTTTTCAATCTTGTCTACCCATTAAACTAGGTTGCAATTCCTCCACAAGGACCCAAATATAAAAGTATGGAATCTTTCTCAGGCCATATTTAGTTCGCTTTAACAGCATAATCCACAGATTATGGTGCAGTGGATTCCGCTGATATTCAGGGGTGCTGACTCTAGTTTTCAATTAAGACAAGTGAAGAGAGACAGAACTCTGTTCCAGATAATGGATGTCTAGGTAATTCAGATAATCCCCCTGGTAAAGACAACAATAAAGCCGGGTGATATATAAAAATAATTCTTTCTTAAAGCATTAAAAATATAATAAACTAGTAATCAATTACCTGCTGAGTGTCAGTAAAAGAAACAAACCCAGAGAAGTGAATCTAGCAGTTGGGACCCCTTTTGCCCTGGCAACATTTGTAATCTGGATGTAGAAGCCAAGAGACTTATCTATGTTTCTGATAGCCTCATAGGGTTAGAGGAACAAAAACAGAAACCTAGGGCTGCCCAAAGTGGCGACATTGGTGATCATGCACTCCCCCTGAGGCTGCTTTCTAGGAGTAAAGGGGAACTGTAAGTAAACCTGCTCACCCATAAACTGCAGCTTGGCTTACCATCATCTGGTAGCCCATAAGACCCCAAACCTTGACACTGGTTTAAGGTGGGCTGTATTTCAGCACATCTAGGTTTCTGAAGAAGCAAAAGAAAATCCTCTCTGAAGGAATAAAACTTTAACCTAGACTTCACATTATTTCTAGAAATATTTTTTTCAAATACAAAACCCAGCATACAAACGTGCATACACATGAACAAACAAGTCTCCGTGAAAATCAACAGAAACAACAGACTCAAAAAAAGAAAAGAAAGAAAAGAGAGAGAAAGAAAGAGAGAAAGAAAGAAAAAAGAAAAAGAGAAAAGAAAGGAAAGAAAGAAAAAGAAATGACAGATACCAGAAATAGAATCTACTAAACTTCAGATTTGGAAATTATCAGATAAGGGTGTAACAAAACTGCTTACTATATTCAAAGAAACAAAAGCTAATCTAAAAAATTTAAGGAGCAAATTGAAAAATATAAAAACTGACGAAGTAGATTTAAAAATAAAAACCAAAATTTATTTGTAATTGAAATATATAATAACCAAAATTAAGAACTTGAAGGATAAATTAACAACAAACTTGACACAACTGAAAAGAGTATTAGTAAAGTGGAAAATAATTTAGAAGAAATTATTCAGAACACGCTGGGCGTGGTGGCTCACATCTGTAAACCCAGCACTTTGGGAGGCTGAGGCAGGTGGTTCACGAGGTCAGGAGATCGAGACCATCATGATAACTCGGTGAAACCCCATCTCTACTAAAAATACAAAAAATTAGCCAGGTGTGGTGGCAGGCACCTGTAGTCCCAGCTACTTGGGAGTCTGAGGCAGGAAAATGGCATGAACCCAGAAAGCGGAGCTTGCAGTGAGCCGAGATTGTGCCACTTTACTCCAGCCTGGGCAACAGAGCGATACTCTGTCTCATAAAAAAACAAAAAGTAATTATTCAGAACAAAGTATGGAGATGCAAAATAATGGTATTAATAGAAGAGAGGATAAGGAGATCTAATATATATTTAATTAGAATTTTTAATGGATGAAAGACAATAGAGCAGAGGCAATATTTGAATAAATAATAACTGAGATATATAAGACATGGAGAAATGCCACCTACATTCCCTCTCAAAGAAGGACTCATTTCCCTTAGTTGTTTGGAGTGCTGCCAATGTTCTAGGGTTTATCTCAGGTGCAGAGAGTTGATTCTCCCAAAAGCACACCCTTCCTGGGATGATGCACCTTCAACAATTGATTGCAGTGGAGTAAAAAGATTTGTCGTTTTGGCACCACAGGAGTATAGGCCATATGTAATCCAGTGCTCCCTATGGTGTTGGTTGAGACTTTGGCAGGTCTGCATCTCAGCTTAACTCACTTTTCCAGTTTGACAGCCTCATTCACGGTGCTCAGACCATGGAAGTATTTTGTGTTAGAAAAAGGACAATTGGCTGGGCATGGTGGCTCATGCCTGTAATCCCAGCACTTTGGGAGGCCGAGGTGGGAGGATCACTTGAGGTCAGGAGTTTGAGACCAGCCTGGCCAATATGGCAAAACCCCTTCTCTACTAAAAATACAAAAAATTAGCCAGGCATAGTGACAGCCGCCTGTAATCCCAGCTACTTGAGAGTCTGAGACAGGATAATCACTGGAACCTGGGAGGTGGAGGTTGCAGTGAGCTGAGATTGCGCTGTTGCAATCCAGCCTGGGTGACAGAGCGAGCCTCAATCTCAAAAAAAAAAAAAGGACAATTGTCAAAAGTAAGAAGCTGTAGTAGGGGGTCAGAAATATAAATAAATACTATCAGGGCTCAGGTCTAAGGGGGGAAATATTTTATTCTCTTATTTTTTGTACTTTAAGTTCTAGGGTACATGTGCACAATGTGCAGGTTTGTTACATATGTATACACGTGCCATGTTGGTATCCTGCACCCATTAACTTGTTATTTACATTAGGTATTTCTCCTAATGCTATCCCTCCCCACTAACCCACTCCACGACAGGCCCTGGTGTGTGACATTCCCCTTCCTGTGTCCAAGTGTTCTTATTGTTCAATTCCCCCCATGAGTGAGAACATGAGGTGTTTTGTTTTCTGTCCTTGTTATGGTTTGCTGAGAATGATGGTTTCCAGCTTCATCCATGTCCCTACAAAGGACATGAACTCATCCTTTTTTATGGCTGCATAGTATTCCATGGTGTATATGTGCCACATTTTCCTAATCCAGTCTATCATTGATGGATATTTGGGTTGTTCCAAGTCTTTGCTATTGTGAATAGTGCCGCAATAAACATATGTGTGCATGTGTCTTTATAGTAGCATAATTTATAATCCTTTGGGTATATACCCAGTAATGGGATTGCTGAGTCAAATAGTATTTCTAGTTCTAGATCCTTGAGGAATTATCACACTGTCTTCCACGATGGCTGAACTAGTTTACAGTCCCACCAACAGTGTAAAAGCATTCCTATTTCTCCACATCCTCTCCAGCACCTGTTGTTTCCTGACTTTTTAATGATCACCATTCTAACTGGTGTGAGATGGTATCTCATTGTGGTTTTGATTTGCATTTCTCTGATGGCCAGTGATGATGAGCATTTTTTCATGTGTCTTTTGGCTGCATAAATGTCTTCTTTTGAGAAGTGTCTGTTCATATCCTTTGCCCACTTTTTGATGGGGTTGTTTGATTTTTTCTTGTAAATTTGTTTGAGTTCTTTGTAGATTCTGGATATTAGCCCTTTGTCAGATGGGTAGATTGCAAAAATTTACTCCCATTCTGTAGGTTGCCTGTTCACTCTGATGGTAGTTTCTTTTGCTGTGCAGAAGCTCTTTAGTTTAATTAGATCCCATTTGTTTATTTTGGCTTTTGTTGTCATTGCTTTTGGTGTTTTAGTCATGAAGTCCTTGTCCATACCTATGTCCTGAATGGTATTGCCTAGGTTTTGTTCTAGGGTTTTTATGGTTTTAGGTCTAACATTTAAGTCTTTCATCCATCTTGAATTAATTTTTGTATAAGGTTTAAGGGAGGGATCCAGTTTCAGCTTTCTACATATGGCTAGCCAGTTTTCTCAGCACCATTTATTAAATAGGGAATCCTTTCCCCATTTCTTGTTTTTGTCAGGTTTGTCAAAGATCAAATGGTTGTAGACGTGTGGTATTATTTCTGAGGGCTCTATTCTGTTCCATTGGTCTATATATCTATTTTGGTACCAGTACCATCTGTTTTGGTTACTGTAACCACGTAGTATAGTTTGAAGTCAGGTAGCGTGATGCCTCCAGCTTTGTTCTTTTGGCTTAGGATTGTCTTGGCAATGCAGGCTCTTTTTTGGTTCCATATGAACTTTAAAGTAGTCTTTTCCAATTCTGTGAAGAAAGTCATTGGTAGCTTGAGGGAGATGGCATTGAATCTATAAATTACCTTGGGCAGTAGGGCCATTTTCATGACATTGATTCTTCCTATCCATGAGCATGGAATGTTCTTCCATTTGTTTGTGTCCTCTTTTATTTTGTTGAGCAGTGGTTTGTAGTTCTTCTTGAGGAGGTCCTTCACATCCCTTGTAAGTTGGATTCCTAGGTATTTTATTCTCTTTGTAGCAATTGTGAATGGGAGTTCCCTCATGATTTGGCTCTCTGTCTGTTACTGATGTATAGGAATGCTTGTGATTTTTGCACATTGATTTTGTATCCTGAGACTTTGCTGAAGTTGCTTATCAGCTTAAGGAGATTTTGGACTGAGACGATGGGGTTTTCTAAATATACAATCATGTCATCTGCAAGCAGGGACAATTTGACTTCCTCTTTTCCTAATTGAATACCCTTTATTTGTTTCTCTTGCCTGATTGCCCTGGCCAGAACTTCCAACACTATGTTGAATAGAAGTGGTGAGAGAGGGCATCCCTGTCTTGTGCCAGCTTTAAAAGGGAATGCTTCCAGTTTTTGCCCATTCAATATGATATTGGCTGTGGGTTTGGCATAAACAGCTCTTATTATTTTGAGATACGTCCCGTCAATACCTAGTTTATTGAGAGTTTTTAGCATGAAGGGCTGTTGAATTTTGTCGAAGGCCTTTTCTGCATCTATTGAGATAATCACATGGTTTTTGGCTTTGGTTCTGTTTATGTGATGGATTACATTTATTGATTTTCATATGTTGAACAAGCCTTGTATCCCAGGGATGAAGCCAACTTGTTCTTGGTGGATAAGCTTTTTGATGTGCTGCTCGATTTGGTTTGCCTGTATTTTATTGAGGATTTTCGCATCGATGTTCATCAGGGATATTGGTCTAAAATTCTCTTTTTTTGTCATGTCTCTGCCAGGCTTTGGTATCAGGATAATGCTTGCCTCATAAAATGAGTTACGGATGAGTCCCTCTTTTTCTATTGTTTGGAATAGTTTCAGAAGAAATCGGACTAGCTCCTCTTTGTACCTGTGGTAGAATTCTGCTGTGAATCCGTCTGGTCCTGGACTTTTTTTGGTTGGTAGGCTATTAATTATTGCCTCAATTTCAGAGCCTGTTATTGGTCTATTCAGGGATTCAACTTCTTCCCAGTTTAATCTTAGGAGAGTGTATGTGTCCAGGAATTTATCCATTTCTTCTAGATTTTCTAGTTTATTTGCATAGAGGTGTTTATAGTATTCTCTGATGGTAGTTTGCATTTCTGTGGGATCGGTGGTGATATCCCCTTTATCATTTTTCATTGCATCTGTTTGATTAGTCTCTATTTTCTTCTTTATTAGTCTTGCTGGTGATGTATCAATTTTGTTGATCTTTTCAAAAAAGCCAGCGCCTGGATTCATTGATTTTTTGAATGGTTTTTTGTGTTTCTGTCTCCTTCAGTTCTGCTCTGATCTTAGTTATTTCTTGCCTTCTGCTAGCTTTTGAATGTGTTTGCTCTTGCTTCTCTAGTTCTTTTCATTGTGATGTTAGGATGTCGATTTTAGATCTTTCCTGCTTTCCCTTGTGGGCATTTAGTGCTATAAATTTCCCTCTACACACTGCTTTAAATGCGTCCCAGAGATTCTGGTATGTTGTGTCTTTGTTCTCATTGGTTTCAAAGAACATCTTTATTTCTGCCTTCATTTTGTTATTTACCCAGTAGTCATTCAGGAGTAAGTTGTTCAGTTTCCATGTAGTTGTGCAGTTTTGAATGAGGTTCTTAATCCTGAGTTCTAATTTGATTGCACTGTGGTCTGAGAGACAGTTTGTTGTGATTTCTGTTCTTTTACATTTGCTGAGGAGTGCTTTACTTCCAACTTTGTGGTCAATTTTGGAATAAGTGTGATGTGGTGCTGAGAAGAATGTATATTCTGTTTATTTGGGGTGGAGAGTTCTGTAGATGTCTATTAGGTCTGCTTGGTCCAGAGCTGAGTTCAAGTCCTGGATATCCTTGTTAACCTTCTGTCTCATTGATCTGTCTAATATTGACAGTGGGGTGTTAAAGTCTCCCATTATTATTGTGTGGGAGTCTAAGTCTCTTTGTAGGTCTCTAAGGACTTGCTTTATGAATCTGGGTGCTCCTGTATTGGGTGCATATATATTTAGGATAGTTAGCTCTTCTTGTTGAATTGACCCCTTTACCATTATGTAATGGCCTTCTTTGTCTTTGTTGATCTTTGTTGGTTTAAAGTCTGTTTTATCAGAGACTAGGATTGCAACTGCTGCTTTTTTTTTTGCTTTACATTTGCTTGGTAGATCTTCCTCCATCCCTTTATTTTGAGCCTGTGTGCGTCTCTGCATGTGAGATTGGTCTCCTGAATACAGCACACTTGATGGGTCTTGACTCTTTATCCAATTTGCCAGTCTGTGTCTAATTTAATTGGGGCATTTAGCCCATTTACATTTAAGGTTAATATTGTTATGTGTGAATTTGATCCTGTCATGATGTTAGCTGGTTATTTTGCCCATTAGTTGATGCAGTTTCTTCCTAGCATCGATGGTCTTTACAATTTGGCATGATTTTGCAGTGGCTGGTACCAGTTGTTCCTTTCCATGTTTAGCGCTTCCTTCAGGAGCTCTTGTAAGGCAGGCCTGGTGGTGACAAAATCTCTCAGCATTTGCTTGTCTGCAAAGGATTTTATTTCTCCTTCAATTATGAAGCTTAGTTTGGCTGGATATGAAATTCTAGGTTGAAAATTCTTTTCTTTAAGAATGATAAATATTGGCCCCCACTCTCTTCTGGCTTGTAGAGTTTCTGCCAAGAGATCTGCTGTTAGTCTGATGGGATTCCCTTTGCGGGTAACCCGACCTTTCTCTCTGGCTGCCCTTAACATTTTTTCCTTCATTTCAACCTTGGTGAATCTGACAATTATGTGTCTTGGGATTGTTTTTCTCGAGGAGTATCTTTGTGGTGTTCTCTGTATTTCCTGAATTTGAATGTTGGCCTGCCTTACTAGGTTGGGGAAGTTCTCCTGGATAATATCCTGAAGAGTGTTTTCCAACTTGGTTCCATTCTCCCCGTCAGTGTCAGGTACACCAATCAGACGTAGATTTGGTCTTTTCACATAGTCCCATATTTCTTGGAGGCTTTGTTTGTTTCTTTTTAGCCTTTTTTCTTTTATTTATTTATTTTTTTTTGAGACAGAGTCTCACTGTGTCACTGAGGCTGGAGGGCAGTGGTGCCATCTTGGCTCACTGCAAGCTCCACCTCCCGGGTTCACGCCATTCTCCTGCCTCAGCCTCCCGAGTGGCTGGGACTACAGGCGCCCGCCACCATGCCCAGCTAATGTTTTGTATTTTTAGTAGAGACGGGGTTTCACCGTGTTAGCCAGGATGGTCTCGATCTCCTGACGTTGTGATCCGCCCGCCTCGGCCTCCCAAAATGCTGGGATTACAGGCGTGAGCCACCGCGCCCGGCTTCTTTTTACCCTTTTTTCTCTAAATTCTCTTCTTGCTTCGTTTCATTAATTTGATCTTCAATCACTGATACCCTTTCTTCCACTTGATGGAATCGGCTACTGAAGCTTTTACATGTGTCACGTAGTTCTCGTGCCATGGTTTTCAGCTCCATCAGGTCCTTTGAGGTCTTCTCTACACTGTTTATTCTAGTTAGCCATTTGTCTAATCTTTTTTCAAGGTTTTTAGCTTCCTTATGATGGGTTCAAACCGCCTCCTTTAGCTCGGAGAAGTTTGTTATTACTGACCTTCTGAAGCCTACTTCTGTCAATTCATCAAAGTGATTCTCCATCCAGCTTTGTTCCATTGCTGGTGAGGAGCTGCGATCCTTTGGAGGAGAAGAGGTGCTCTGGTGTTTAGGATTTTCAGCTTTTCTGCTCTGGTTTCTCTCCATCTTTGTGGTTTTATCTGCCTTTGGTCTTTGATGATGGTGACCTACAGATGGGCTTTTGGTGTGGATGTCCTTGTTGTTGATGTTGATGCTATTTCTTTCTGTTTGTTAGTTTTCCTCCTAACAGGTCTCTGAGCTGCAGGTCTGTTGGAGTTTGCTAGAGGTCCACTCCAGACCCTGTTTGCCTGGGTATCACCAGCAGAGGCTGCAGAACAGCAGATATTGCAGAACAGCAAATATTACTGCCTGATCCTTCTTCTGGAAGCTTCGTCTCAGAGGGGCACCTGGCTGTATGAGGTGTTAGTCGGCCCCTACTGGGAGGTGTCTCCCAGTTAGGCTACACAGGGGTCAGGGACCCACTTGAGGAGGCAGTCTGTCCCTTCTTAGGACTCAAACTCCGTGCTGGGAGAACCACTGCTCTCTTCAGAGCTGTCAGACAGGGACGTTTAAGTCTGCAGAAGTTTCTGCTGCCTTTTGTTCAGCTATGCCCTGCCCCCCAGAGGTGGAGTCTACAAAGGCAGGCAGGCCTCCTTGAGCTGTGGTGGACTCCACCCAATAAGAGCTTCTGGGCCACTTTGTTTGCCTACTCAAGCCTCAGCAATGGAGGACCCCCTCCCCCAGCCAGGCTGCCACCTCGCTGTTCGATCTCGGACTGCTGCTCTAGCAGTGAGCAAGGCTCCGTGGGCGTAGGACCCTCTGAGCCAGGCTCTGGGTATAATCTCCTGGTGTGCCATTTGCTAAGACCATTGGAAAAGTGCAGTATTAGGGCAGGAGTGTCCCGATTTTCCAGGTACACTCTGTCACAGTTTCCCTTGGCTGGGAAAGGGAAATCCCCTGAACCTTGCACTTCCCAGGTGAGGCGATGCTCCGCCCTGCTTCAGCTCACCCTCCATGGGCTGTACCCACTGTCCAACCAGTCCCAGTGAGATGAACCAGTTACCTTAGTTGGAAATGCAGAAATCACCTATCTTCTGTGGCAATCACGCTGGGAGCTGCAGACCAGAGCTGTTCCTATTTGGCCATCTTGTTTTCACTCTATTTTATTCTCTTCTAACAGGGGATTTCTTTTTTGTTTTTTGTTTTTTTTTCCGAGATGCAGTCTCACTCTGTCCCTCAGGCTGGAGTGCAGTGGCACAATCTCGGCTCCCAGGTTCAAGTGATTCTTCTGCCTCAGCTTCCTGAGTAGTTGGGACTATAGGTGGGTACCACCATACCTACCTAATTTTTGTATTTTTAGTAGAAATGGGGTTTCACCATGTTGGCCAGGCTGGTCCCAAACTCCTGACCTCGTGATGCACACACCTTGGTCTCCGAAAGTGCTGGGATTTCAGGTGTGAGCCACTGCGCCCCACAGTAATGTTTCCATTTCAATTCTGATTTTAGTGACTTGAATCATCTCTCCCTTATCTTGGTCAATCTAGTTTAGGGTTTGACAATTTTGTTTACCTTTTTAAGAAATAAATATTTTATTTTATTTATTTATTTATTGTTTTTCTATTTCATTAGTTTCCACTCTAATCTTTATTTCTTTCCTTCCTGTTGCGTTAGCTTTAGTTTGCTCGTCTTTTTTCAGTGTCTTACAATGTAAGGGCTATTGATTTAAGATCTTTTGTCTTTCCTAACATAAACATTCCCAGCTATAAATTTACTTCTTAGCACTGTTTTAGCTGTATCCAGTACATTTTGATATGTTGTGCTGTTGTGTACTTTTTTTTTTTTTTGAGACCTAGTCTCACCCTGTCACCCAGGCTGGAGTGCAGTGGCACATTCTCAGCTCACTGCAACCTCACCTTCCCAGGTTCAAACGATTCTCATGCCTCAGCCTCCCCAGTAGCTGGGATTACAGACATGTGCCACCACACCCAGCTAATTTTTTATATTTTCTTGTAGAGACATGGTTTTGTGACTAGGCTGGCCTCCAACTCCTAGCGTCAAGTGATTCGCCCGCCTTGGCCTCTCAAAGTGCTGGGATTACAGGCATGAGCCACCGCGCCTGACTGAACTCATTTTTATTTATCTGAACGTATTTAAATTGTTTTAAATCAAAGTAAAACACATAACATTAAATTTATCATCCTAACCATTTTTAAGTATACAGTTTAGTAGTATTAAGTATATTCACATTGTTATGCAACAGATCTCTGGAACACTTTCATCTTTCAACACTGAAACTCTATGCCCAACAAACGCTAATTCTCCTCTCCCTTCCAGCCAGTCCTTGGCAACCACCTTTCTACCTTCTGTTTCTATAATTGTGTCTACTTTAGATACTTCTTATTAGTGGAATCATACAGTGTCTGTTCTTTTGTGACTGGCTTACTTCACTTGCCATAATGTCCTCAAGATTTATCTATTATTGTAGTATGTGATAGGATTTCCTTTTTTAAGGCTACATAATATTCTGTTGTATGTATATACCACATTTGGTATATCCATTCATCTGTCAATTGACATTTGTTTTGCTTTTACCTCTTGGCTAGTGTGAATAATGCTACAGTTATCTCTTTAGGATCCTACTTTGAATGCTTTTGAATTCTTTTGAAACCCCTGCAGAAGTAGGTTTGCTGGATTATATGGGAATCATAATTTTAATTTTGTGAAGAAACCCTGTGTTGGGAAAACTCTCACCAACCATTTTCCTCTAGTCTTACACCACAATAATCATCAACATAGAAGACTACTGTGGCCAAATGTGTGAAGGTTTTTCCCCACACATCAAGCAGCAGACACCAGCTAGGTGTCCTCCAATTCAGTTCTGACACTGTCTACCTGAAGGTAATGTCAGTTCCTGCAGGTTGGGGGCTCAGTCCACAAGACTTCCCCCTATAGCCTCAGATACCAGTTGCAAGTCTGGGTCTCTGGGACTTCTTGACTGACTGGTTTCAATTTGGGGTTCCTACAACCTCCTCTTTGGGTTAAGTTAATTTGCTGGAGTGGCTCACAGAACTCAGGGAAACATTTACATTCACCAGTTTATTATAAAGGACACAGATGAATAGACTGGCAGGGCAAGGTATGGTGGAAGGGGTATGGAGCTTCCATGCCCTCCCTGGGCATGCCACCCTCCAGCAACCTTCACGGGTTCAGCTATCTGGAGGTCTTTGAACCCAGTCTTCTTGGGTTTGTATGGAAGCATTCCTTCCTCCAGGGTATGAGACTGGACCCTCCCAGGGGAGGGTCTTAAGACCCATAATGAAAAAGATGGGGTAATATTAGAGTTCTGCCTTGGGGCAGGTGAAAGGAAGGCAGGAGGTAGATTCTGTTCCTTGAGGCCTGCCCCTGAGGCCTAACACACACAACATTATAACAAAAGACTGTAACAAGGGAGATGGAAGTTATGAACCAGTAACTGTGGATGAAAACCTATAACTTATATATATACATGTATATATATATGTATATAGACCACGAACTCCACACTGTTTTTCATAATGGCTGCACCATTTTACATTCCCGCCAACAGTGCACACATTTCCAATTTCTGCATATCCTCTCCAACACTTGTTATTTTCTATTCTTTTCATAGGGCCATCCTAACAGATGTGAGATTATATTTCATTATGATTTTGATTTGTATTTCTCTAATGATTAGTAATGTTGAACATTTTTTCATATGCTTATTGGCTATTTGTATATCTTTTTTCAAGAAATGTTTATTAAAGTCTGTTGCCCATTTTAAAATCAGGTTATTTGTTTTTTGTTGTTGTTGAGTTGTACAAGTTCCTTATATACGCTGGATATTAACCCTTTATCAGTTGCAAACATTTTCCTCCTGTTCCATAGGTTGTGTTTTCACTTTTTTGATTGTTTCCTTTGATGTGCGGAAATTTTTAAGTTTGGTGTGGTCCCATTTGTCTATTTTTGCTTTTGTTGTCTGTGTTCTTGGTGGCTTGTCCAAGAAATCACTGTCAAATCCAATGTCCTGAAGCTTTTCCTCCATGTTTTCTTCGAGGAGTTGTATAGTTTTTGGTCTTATGTTTAGGTCTTTAACCCATTTTGAATTTTTTTTGTATATGTATAAAGATAAGGTCCAATTCATTATTTTGCATGTAGATAACCACTTTTTCCAATACTGTTTACTGAAGGCTCTGTCCTTTCTCCATTGTGTAGTCTTGGCATCATTGTCAAAATTATTCATCCATATATGCAAGGATTTATTTCTGGGCTCTCTGTTCCATTAGTCTGTATACCTGTCTTTATGTCAGTAATACAACCATCTTTTTTGTTTGAGACAGAGTCTTGCTCTGTCACCTGTCACCCAGGCTAGGGTGCATTGGCATGATCTCAGCTCACTGCAACCTCTGCCTGCCGGGTTCAAGCAATTCTCCTGCCTCAGCCTCCCAAGTAGCTGGGACTATAGGCACGTGCCACCATGCCCAGCTAATCTTTTGTATTTTTAGTAGAGACGGGGTTTTACCATGCTGGCCAGGCTGGCCTTGAACTCCTGACCTCGTCATCCACCCACCTTGGTCTCCCAAAGTGCTGGGATTACAGGCATGAGCCACTGCGCCTGGCCCCTACAACCATCTTCATTAGCGTTGCTTTCTAGTATGGTTCAAAATCAGGAAGAATGAGTTCTACAGCTTTGTTCTTTTTCAAGATTGTTTTGGCTGTTCAGGTTCCCTGGAGATTCCATATGAGTCTTAGGATGATTTTTTTCTATATTTTCCTATTTCTGCAAAATTGCCATTGAGTTTTTGATAAGAATGCCATTGAATCTGTAGATCACGTTGGATAATATGTACTTATTCACAGTATTAAAGTCTTCCACTCCACAAGCACAGGATGCCTTTCCATTTATTTGTATCTTGTCTGATTTCTTTTAGCAATGTTTTGTAGTTTTTCCCGCACAAGTCTTTTACCTCCTTGGTTCAGTTTATGCCTAAATATTTTATTCTTTTTGGTGCTATAGTAAATGGGATTGTTTTCTTAATTTTCTTTTCAGGTTGGTCATTGCTAGTTTGTAGAAATGCAACTGATTTTTGTGTGTTCATTTTATACCCTGCTACTTTTCTAAAGTTGTTTATTAGTTGTAACAGGTTTTTTTGTGTGTGTGTGGGAAGGTCTTCAGGGTTTCCACATATAAGATCATGTCATCTGTAAACAGATAATTTTAGTTTTCTTTTCCAGTTTGGATGACTTTTGTTTCTTTCTTTCGTTCTTTCCTTCCTTTTCTTTTCTTTCAAGACGGGGTCTGGCTTTGTCCCCATGCTGGAGTACAATGGTGTGATCTCGGCTCATTGCAACCTCCACCTCCCGGGTTCAAGTGAACCCTGCCTCAGCCTCCCAAGTAGCTGGGATTACAGGTGCATGCCATCATGCCCGGCTAGTTTTTGTAGATTTTTATGGTTATGGGGTTTCACCATGTTGCCTAGGCTGGTCTTGAACACCTGGGCTCAAGCAGTGCACCCTCTCGGCCTCCCAAAGTGCTGGGATTACAGGCTGTAGCCAGCGCACTGGGGCTTTTTTTCTTGTCTAATTGCTCTGAGTAGGACTTCTAGTGCTATGTTGAACAGTAGTGGTGAGAGTAAGCATCCTTGCCTTGTTCTAGATCTTAGAGGAAAAGCTAAGGCCACTGAATATATTACCTGTGGGCTTTTCATGTATGGCTTTTATTAAGTTGAGGTAGTTTCATTCTATTCCTAGTTTGCTGAGTACTTTTTTCTTTTTTCTTTTCTTTTTTCTTTTTTTGAGTCGGAGTTTTGCTCCCTTGACCAGGCTGCAGTGCAGTGGCGCCATCTCTGCTCACTGCAAAGTCTGCCTCCCGGGTTCACGCCATTCTCCTGCCTCAGTCTCCCGAGTAGCTGGGACTACAGGCGTCTGCCACCATGCCCGGCTAATTTTTTTCATTTTTTTTAGTAGAGACGGGGTTTCACCGTGTTAGCCACGATGGTCTCGATCTCCTGAACTCGTGATCCGCCCGCCTCGGCCTCCCAAAGTGCTGGGATTACAGGCGTGAGCCATCGCGCCTGGCCGCTGAGTGCTTTTTTCATAAAAGTGTGTTGAATTTTGTTGAATCCTTTCTGTATCTCAATTGAGATGATATTTGATTATTGCCATTCATTTTATTAACATGGAGTATTATATAACCCTGGATATTTCACTCCCAAGAGTGCTAATCCTCTGACATTAGTCTTCGTGGTGATGCAGTTTTTGGTATGCCCCCAGTCACCCTGGGATGACAGTGGTGCTGGCAATGTTCTTTTCACTCTTTTTCTGACCACACCCTACTGTTGTGTTTCAGTTATTGCTGACCAGTTGTTGTATTGTTTTCAACAATGCCTTGAGGTATAAATTCCTCTATGAACAAATCCAATCAAAATGTAGCTCCTTAAATGGAATAGTTTCTGATGTAAGTATTTGATATTTGTCCTGACTCCAAAAGGGTTCCTCCTACCTGTCTTATTTCCTGATTCTCTCCTGCATACTAGCCAGACTACAGTTTAAGATCTATCTTTCTTAGATTCACAAATTTCCTCCCAATTACCTTTCATCAAAATCTCCACCATTCTTGAGAATGCCCTTAGCTTTCCACTTCTCTATTCTATGTTACAAATTAAATCAGTTATTTTGGGAAAGGATTGGAAGCTATCTACTTTTTGGCTCATTTATTTCTTCTTCTTCTTTTTTTTTTTTTTTTTTTTGAGATGGAGTCTTGCTCTGTCGCCCAGGCTGGAGTGCAGTGGTACAATCTCAGCTCACTGCAACCTCCACCTCCTGGGTTCAAGCGATTCTCCTTCCTCAGCCTCCATAGTAGCTGGAATTATAGGCACACACCACCAGGCCCAGCTATTTTTTTTGTATTTTTAGTAGAGATGGGTTTTCGCCATGTTGGCCAGGCTGGTCTCAAACTCCTGACCTCAGGTGATCTGCCCGCCTTGGCCTCCCAAAGTGCTGGGATTACAGACATGAGCCACCATGCCCGGCTGGCTCATTTCTTTCTATAGGAAAAATCTCTGAGCTAGGACTCTGGAGCTAGAGGTGGTAACAATTGCATGTTTCTCTTTGTGGAAGAAAAGTTCTAGATGCTGAACACTCAGTGGATGAAGTGCAGTAGTCTGAAATCCTCTTGGCTTGTATTTCCTGTTTTGAAGCCACTGCCTCACAAGCCGCAGTAAGAGCTATTAGCACCTTAGTATTCTCTGTGTGCCATGCTCAAGGTAGAGTATTAACTATGTAGGGGTGGCGGAAAAGCTTCCTCTCTGCCCACTGAAATTTGCTGAAAATGAAGTGACAAAGGCAGATTAATAAAAGAAAAAGACATACAAAATTTATTTAACATACATAAGCATGGGGTAATTGTAGGAGAGTGATTACCCAGTGTCCCAGTGAAGTTCAAATACATATATGCCCTTCTTCATAGGGGAAGGAGAGATTGAAGCTGATCATTTAGTATTCCTTTTTACAGTGACATTATATTGATGTACCATAGTTTTCTCAAATTGACCCTTTTGTCAGACATTTGGATTGTTTCCTTTTTTTTGTTTTTTTTTTTTTGAGATGGAGTCTCGCTCTGTCTCCCAGGCTAGAGTGCAGTGGCATGATCTTGGCCCCAGCCTCCCTAGTAGCTGGGGCTACAGGCACGTGCCGCCACACCCAGCTAATTTTTTGTATTTTAATAGAGACGGGGTTTCATCATGTTAGCCAGGATGGTCTCAATCTCCTGACCTGGTGATCCACCTGCCTCAGCCTCCCAAAGTGCTGGGATTACAGGCATGAGCCACCGCACCCGGCCTGGATTGTTTCCTTCTTTTGCTTTACAAATAGAGTTGTGATGAATAGTCATGCATCTGTTTTCCTTTTTATTTATTTAGTATTTATTATTATTATTATTATTTGAGATGGAGTTTTGCTCTCTCACCCAGGCTGGAGTGCTGTGGTGACATCTTGGCTCACTGCAACCTCTGCCTCCTGGGATTCAAGCAATTCTCCTGCCTCAGCCTCTTGAGGAGCTGCAATTACAAGTGCCCGCCACTACACCTGACTACTTTTTGTATTTTTAGTAGAGGCAGGGTTTCACTGTGTTGACCAGGCTGGTCTCAAACTTTTGGCCTCAAGTGATTTGCCGGCCTTGGCCTTCCAAAGTGTTGAGATTACAGGCGTAAGCCACTGTGCCTGGCCCTTTTTATTTTGATAGTATATATTAGGGATAGCTTTTTAGAAGTGGAATTTGTGGGTTAAAGGGTAAATAATTATACATTTTTTCTAGATACTGCAAATTTTCTGCCCTTGGAATTATACCATTTTCCATTCCCACCAGTACTCTATGAAAAGACTAATTTCTCGGCAACCTTGACAACAAAGTATGCTATCCAATCTAATTTAGTATGTCTTTCACTTATTATGAGTAAAGTCAGGGTATTTGGGGTATCCATCACTTTGAGTATTTATCATTTCTATGTGTTGGTTTCAGGTTATCTCTTCTAGCTACTTTGAAATATACAATACATTGTTGCTAACTATAGTCACCCTACTCTACTATCAACATTAGAGGCTGGCTGTGGTGGCAGGCACCTGTAATCCCAGCTGCTCAGGAGACTGAGGCAGGAGAATCACTTGAACCTGGGAGGTGGAGGTTGCAGTGAGCTGGGATGGTGCCACTGCACTCCAGCCTGGGCAAGACAGCCAGACTCCAACTCAAAAAAAAAAAAAAAAAAAGAACCTATACCTTCTATCTAATTATATGTTTGTACACATTGACCAACCTGCCTTTGTACGCAGCTCCAATGCACACACCCTTCCCTGACCCTGGTATCTATGATTCTACTCTCTACCTCCATGAGATCAACTTTTTAAACTCCCACATATGACTGAAAAGATGTGAAATTTGTCTTTCTGTTTCTCGCTTACTTTATTTAACATAATGACCTCCAGTTCCAATTACAATGGATTATATTAATATCTTTCCTAATAATGAGTGATCTTTACACTCCTGGAATAAACCCTACTTGGACATCCTGTATTACTGTTTTAAATGTGCTATTGTATTCTGTTTGCTATAAATTTTATTTAAGATTTAGGCATTACATTTCATATATTTCATATGTGAAATTGACCTGTAGTTTTCATTTTTAGTGCAAACTGAAATGTTATACTAACTTTATAAAGTGCTAGTGTCTATGCTTCGAATAATTTAAGTAGCATCATGATTTTTTGATATTTGACAGTTTGGTAGGATTTCTTTATGAAAGTATTTGAGCTTGGTGCCCTTTTTATTGAGTATGCCTGTTAAACTATTTTTCTTAACTGGTCTGTTTAGACTTTCTGTCTCTACAAGGGTTAGTTTGAGTATGCTACATTTGTCTAAAAAATCCACTAAGTTTGCCAGTTATTTGCTAGTTGTGTTATGTTATCTCTGATGATTTCAAAAAAGGTCTTCTGTGTTGATGATTATTTCCTCCAGTTCTAATTTTGTGTATTTGCACTAATTTTCTCTTTGTTGGCTAGAGGTTTGTCTATTTTGTTGACTTTCAAATATCCACCTTTTTTGTATCTTTATTAGTTATACTTTGTTTCTAACTCATTCTCTGAATTTGTCCTTACAACCCTTCCTTCCTCATTCTTTTGGTTTATTTTGTTGTTCATTTAGTAGCATCTTGAGCTGTGTTTGATTCATTTGTTATTTTTTGTTATCGATATAGGTATGTGAGGAAATAAATTTCCTTCTGATAAATGCTTTAGCTCTATCTCACAGATTCTATGTCACATTTGCACTTTTGTCCCTTTCAAGAAATTATGTAATTAAAATTTGTATTTCCTTCTTGACTCGAGTTGTATTATAGCATGCTTTAAAATTTTCAGGTGGAAGTGACTTTTATTTTTTATTTTATCAATTTCTAGTTTTATTGCATGATGGTCAGAGAATGATGTTTGTGTTATTTCTATACTTTGGAACTTACTGAGGTTTTCTTCTGTGGTCCGTTTTCATGAATGTTTCACAGGTACTACAAAAGAATGTGGTGCGGAGAGAGAGGTATACCGGACCCGAACTCTCTCGCCACACTCTTCCTCGTTCCTTGATTATTTCCGGTAATGCTCCTGAATCCACATTTTTATGAAAAAAAAAAAACCACTTTATTCTTCTTGTATGCGACCCTCTGCAAACTGTTTTTTTTAAATAAAGTATTCAAGTATGATTGACGTCCCTTTAATCTCAGATGGGCTGATAATAGGATTGGATAATTCTGTTATTCACCACATCCCCTTATCTTGTCTTTCTGCCCATTTAAGCTACTCTCCCAGTGTTGGCTGAGACCCTGTGGGTTCCTTGGGCTGGGAGGCAGAAGCCCGGAGCTCAGAGGATGAGGTTGGTGAGCCAGACCCGGCACACGGAGGGCTTGATGAATCGTTCATGCGCGTGTTGAGTGTATACCGCCCTCGTATCGTTTTCTGCCAATCGGGACCGGACCGGGAGCGGATTCTGCCCGAAAGGGGGCGCGATCTGGCGGGTGCTCCTCTTCCTCGCTCCCCAGTCCGCGCCTCGCTGGGCTCAGCACCCCGGCCCCCGGCGGGACGGAGGCTCGGGTCCAAAGCAGTGGCTGCACCGACACGAACCCGTCTGCGTTTCTCCACCTGTCTTCCCTCGCCACCTGCATCTACTATGGTCTCTAAATGCCTCGCTTTGTACTTTGTGGCTTTCTGGCAGCCCTTTAAAGCAGCGGTGAAAGAAAGGAGAGAGTCAAGACACGGGAGAAAATGTTTCATCCCGGGTTCTTCTAGTGGTGCCCGGTAAGTGACTCCGGACTGACGAGCAGAAAAATCCCAGGGCCATCAATAGAGGGCCTTCGGTGTAGAATGCGGTTTGCTCAGCTGTCAGCAAAGAGGGACGCAAAACCTAAATTTGAGATATCAGAAATAACTAAATAAAATAGACCTTGGCTGATTACAACTAATGGTTCTGAAACCTAGCAAAAGGGTCAGGTTCTGATCTTGAATATACTCTCGAGAGAACCGTTTCAGTACGGGGGTGTAGCTCAGTGGTAGAGCGCGTGCTTAGCATGCACGAGGCCCCGGGTTCAATCCCCGGCACCTCCATTTCTTTTGCTTTTAATTTTTTTCCCATTGCTTTACTTTATTTTCCTTGCTTAAACAGAAAGTAACCCTATTTCACAACGGTTTTGCCATTAATATTAGTGCTGTTCCATTTCTACTCCTCAGCCTTGACACGACTCGGGGGACTGCCTAAGCAAAAGGTGGAAAAGATGGAGCTGGAAGACAAAGACGGCTCCGGATTCCAAAACTTCAATGGCGTCGCCAAATTGACGAGCTCATTAACCTTTGGAGTATTGTTATTTAAAAAGTAGGAAATAAAAGATAAATGTGGAAATATTTAATAAAAGAAAAACGTAAGCTCTCAATTTTCTTTATTACTTTTTTTTTTTTGAGACGGAGTCTCTCGCTCTGTCGCCCAGTGGCACGATCTTGGCTCACTGCAAGCTCCGCCTCCCGGGTTTACGCCATTCTTCTGCCTCAGCCTCCCGAGTAGCCGGGACTACAGGCGCCCGTCACCACGCCCGGCTAATTTTTTCTATTTTTTTGGTAGAGACAGGGTTTCACCGTGTTAGCCAGGATGGTCGCGATCTCCTGACCTCGTGATCCTCCCGCCTCGGCCTCCCAAAGTGCTGGGATTACAGGAGTAAGCCACCACCGCTCCCAGCCGATTTCCTTTATTTTTTTTCTGGTCCTTGTTTAGCCATGATCCATCGCAGGCTGAGCCCTGACAAACGCAAAGCCTTCCAAACTGGGAAATTGAGAAAGTTATTTTCATCAATGAATGTAGAGGCGTCACACTTCTGCCGAAATAGCTCCACTGGGAAGCATGCTCTGCTGAAGATCTCAAAGTTCACGGACTGATTTCCAGTTTTATTCTGTCTTCACTCCTGCCGGATAATTTGACTTCCCTTAGATGACGTTACAGAAGTAATTTTACCTAAGACAGGTGCGCCCTCTATCGTAAGGATATCTTTCAGACTCTTGGTCCACACAAGAGTTGGTGGCACCGGAGAGCTTGTTAGAAGAGCGAAATCTCAGCTTCACCTCAGACGTACTGAACCAGAAGTAGCAATTTAACAAGATCCACAAGAGATTCTTTTGCACATTTAAGAAGCAATATGACGTGCTTTGACGTGGATGGAGTAAGGGTGTATAGTATAAATACGCGGCTGTGTTTTTTCCCCCAATTTTCTATTCTAACAGAAAACATAATTGCAAAAAATATATATTTCTATTGCTGAATCATTTTTGTGTTCTAATCATTGACTCTGTTCCTTGCCTCTCTGGCAATATTGTACTTAGTAATATTTTTTGAATCACTATTCATGATTGAATATGATGTGAAGTTTTCATTTTCTTTTTTTTTTTTCTTGAGACGGAGTCTCACTCTGTCGTCCAGGTTGGAGTGCAGTGGCGCGATCTCGACTCACTGCAACCTCCGCCTCCCGGGTTCAAGCGATTCTCCTGCCTCAGCATCCCGAGTAACTGGGACAACAAGCGCGCGCCACCGCGCCCGGCTAATTTTTTATATTTTTTTTAGGGACGGGGTTTCACCATATTGGCCAGGCTGGTCTCGAACTCCTGACCTCATGATCCGCCCGCCTCGCAAAGTGCTGGGATTACAGGCATGAGCCACCACTCCCGGCCTTTATTTTCTTTTTCGCAAGTTTTGCAATAAAGGCTGTGCTAACTTCTAATGTAAACTGGGAAGTTTGTATCCTTGCTCTGAAACATTTTAAATAGAATAAGACCTTGTAATCATTCCAGAATACACAGCCCTCTTCTCATCAGCTACCACCAAATCTTCAAGAACTTTTGTATTAACACCACTTTGTATTCTAAGCCCTGTGATAGATTTTAAAGATCCAAAACCCTTTGCTAACCCTAATGAAAGTGTGAGCTGAAGGATATCTCAAGAATTGGGAAATCCTTGGTTTCCGATATAATATCAGGCCACCTCTGTCCCTGTGAAGTGATTAGGAAATTTTCAATGGAGAAAATAAGTTCCAAAAGTCATTCTTTCTCAGATTAAGATGTCTTGGGTTTCAGTTTACTTCTTTAAAGAAAGATTCAGAGCTAGTACTGAGGACCCAGACTTTCTTGATGTGGGAAATAGATAATTTTCTGTTCTGTTGACATTTTTTCTCTCTCTTCTCTCATTTTCAAAGTACAGTTCCACAATGTCTCTTTGCCACTTATACTCACTGTGGCAGAAAAAAATTATTCACAGGCTTCAATCATGGGAATCAATTTGCAAAGGAATATAGTAAAAGCATGAGGAAAATTATCATGAATTATTACCATTGCTTTATGCTAGGGCTCAGGCCCAAATGGAAATATTTTTTTCTGCTCCCCACAATAGACTTCTTTAAGGAAGTCCACCTCTGTAATTTAGGGTAGAAATGGATAGGATGCAAAAACCAAGAGTTTAATATAAGAAAGCTATAGAAAATATAGGATGGAGATTTCAAAAACATCTTGGGACAATGAAAACAAATGACATATGACAGATAGAAGTACTTCTTTGAGAGCAAACAGTGCCTATCTTTGGCCTAGGACAATAGTGAATCATTTTAAGGTACATTGTAGATGAATTTTGGAAATTCAACTATATTTTATTTTGGGGTTGTATACTTCAATGAGATCATATTTTAAAAAAATTTTTCTCCACAGAGAAATTAAGGACCTCTTTCAAAAATCAGCTGGGCATGGTGGCGACCACCTGTAATCACTGCTACTTGGGAGGCTGAGGCAGGAGAATTGCTTGAACCTCGGAGGCGGAGGTTGCAGTGAGCCAAGATCATGCCACTGCACTCCAGCCTGGGTGACACAATGAGACTCCATCTCAAAAAAAAAAAAAAAAATTAAGGACTTCTGAGAGGAATGAGGACGTGGCCATGCGTGAGACCCTGGGTGAATGTGTGGGAAGCGGCAGGTGGGCAGGACCATTGGCTGCACAGTGATATGGAAGCAGACACAATCCATCAGGCCATGTAGTCAATCTGACTCAAAAGGTAGAGTTTTATTCTTTTCAAAGACATATTTAATTGAAGAAAAAAGATTATTTAACCCTTTACTGTCTAGTTCAGGAATTCTTTTTTAATATTCAATCAAGGTGGGAGACTTACAACAGTGTAATCAAACCTCCCTCTCCCTGTTAACAAATCAAGATGTAAATCCCAAAGAATATAGAGTGAATTCAATTTCTAGATTATCATATAAGAGCTCCTTACATGAAAACTATTACTCCACCTTTTTGTCAACTTTAAGAAAACAGTACTCAACCAGTTACAATCTTCTCTCTGGTTGTAGATTGTCTAGAGATGTCATTCGCATGTCTGCAGGCTCCCTGAGCAGAGTAATTGAGTATGAATGAGTTCTATCTCCTGAGATAAATGGTTGGTTCATCAGAAAAATCTCATATATTTGGAACTCATCCTATGTCTCCCCATGCATAGATATTTCTGAATGCTTACAGAAACTTAAACAATTCTCACAGTGTTCTCTGTACTTTGGGGCAAACAGAAAAAAAAAAAAAAAGAAACACCTCCTTGTGGGGAACTTCTGGTAATCTAACTGGTATCTTGGTTTCTTCAGGTGCAAGTTAGAGAATAATTACATGATGACTCTGGAAACAACTTTCACACCATCAAACAGTCTAGATAATTTTCTTTCTTTCTTTCTTTCTTTCTTTTTTTTTTTTTTTTTTTGAGACAGAGTCTTGCTCTGTCGCCCAGGCTGGAGTGCAGTAGCGCGATCTCGGCTCACTGCAAGCACCGCCTCCTGGGTTCACGCCATTCTCCTGCCTCAGCCTCCCGAGTAGCTGGCACTACAGGCGCCCTCCACTACACCTGGCTAATTTTTTGTTTTTTGTTTTTTTTTTTAAGTAGAGACGGGGTTTCACCGTGTTAGCCAGGATGGTCTCGGTCTCCTGACCTCGTGATCCGCCCGCCTCGGCCTCCCAAAGTGTTGGGATTACAGCCATGAGCCACCGCGCCCGGCCAAAACAGCCTAGATAATTTTTCTCACATCCTCCCAGCACTTTCACGCGCGCGCGCGCGCACAAACACACACACACCAGAGCTTGTAGAGTTTTGTGGGTGACACTTAAATACCCAATTTCAGTGAAACCTGCCATTATGTTTCCTCTTACCTATTCCGCTATCCCTATGAGCCAACAGAGAGAAATTCTGCCAAACCATAAGGTGTTCCCAACCTCGAAAGGGGCTCAGCAATATGCTTACCAATATAGGTAAAGTCATACATAAGGAGAATGAGAATGAAGATGAATGAGAAAAGATAACACCTACTGGGAAACTAGCCAGGAAATGAGACTTTCTGGGTCTTTTGTGAAAGTTTCAAGGCCATGGTGACAACCAGTGTGAATTCCAGGGTTGAAGATCAGCTAGGAAGAAGTTCATTTTTTTGCTTTTCACAACTATCAGTAAGTAAGTTTCTGATCTTCATATCTCAAAGGACACTTTGAGTTCTCATTGTACTCACACTGTATTGGTGCCTTCTACTCACTCCCACCTCCACGTATTCAGATCAGAGCACTGGGCTAAGTTCACTGTGTTTCACCAATGGGCAGGATCCTACGGAAGAATATGGTAAGTTCAACACGTTCCCAAACAAACTCACCTCCTCCTCCTAATATCTTGTCCATTCCTTCAAAGAACAATAAGCATCTCTATTCTGCTTTTTTTCCTCCTGTTTGTTGAGGCTCTCTTTTATGGATTCCCCACTTTCTGGCTTGCTCTATAAATCCAATAAGTCTTTGAATCCTGTGTCTAGCTACCTATGAATGTGCTTTCAAAATTTCAAAGTTTTTCTCCATCCTTGAATCTGCTATTTATTTCATGTCTTGAACATTATTCTGGACTACTCCATGAACCTCCTCAGTTGCCTTCATGCTGTAGTACAATCAAGAACCCCTTGGCAATGAATAACAGGTTGCATGTGGTTTTCATTCTCACCTGGGGTTTTCTCATCAAAGTTTTGCTCTTACCATTCCTGTGAAGCAAACAGCAATAGCAGAAGTGCTTTATTCAGGAAAAAGCTGGTCAGTTTTCTAACGCAAGTTTCCAGTATTCTGCGTTCCATTTCAAGCTTTATTTGCCAAAACTTCAATATCCCCCACAGCTGGGGGTCTTCCAACTTAAAATGGTCACAAATCCTGCTTCTAAACCCAACACTTAGTGCTAAAACAATGAACACAGGAATGGAGACCCACAGAATATAACGAGATATTCCTTTATTTTTCATTTTATTTAATTTTTTACATCTTTAGATTGGAGAAATACCTTTTTAGGGTTTTTGGGTTTTTGTTTGTTTGTTTTTTGAGACAGAGTCTCACTCTGTCCCCAAGGCTGGAGTGCAGTGGCGCCATCTCCGCTCACTGCAGCCTCCACCTCCCAGGTTCAAGAGATTCTCCTGCCTCAACCTCTGAGCAGCTGGGGTTACAGGCACGTGCCATCACGCCCGGCTAATTTTTGTATTTTTAGTAGAGACAGGGTTTCACCTTGTTGGCTCGGCTGGCCTCGAACTTCTGACCTTAAATGATCTGACCGCCTCCAACTTCCAAACTGCTGCGATTACAAGCGTGAGCTACCGTGCCCGGCCACCTTTTTAATTTTTAAGTTATTTTTTATTTCCATATTTTTATTGTTTTCATATACTGCAATAGTACTTGGAGGACGACACAAATATCTCTTGGCATGAGGAGATGTAGTTCAGTGATAGAACGTGTGCCTTACATATAGGAGGCCTCAGGTTCAGCTCCCGAGAACCTTCAACGGTCAGTTTCCGAGTTCTTAATACCACTCCTTAGTACAAAGCACATTCAGGTGTCCTACTCTCTTTTCGTTGCCTGTCACATGAGAAGTAAACACGTGACCCCAAGACGTTAATTTCTGTTTTTTTTTTTTTTTTTTTAGAGATGGAGTCTCACTCAGTCGCCCAGGCTGGAGTGCAGTGGCGTGATCTCGGCTCACTGCAAGCTCCGCCTCCTGGGTTCACACCATTCTCCAGCCTCAGCCTCCTGAGTAGCTGGGACTACAGGCGCCTGCCACTATGCCTGGCTAATTTTTTTTTTTTTTTTTGTATTTTTAGTAGAGACCGGGTTTCACCGTGTTAGCCAGGATGGTCTCGATCTCCTGACCTCGTGATCCGCCTGTCTTGACCTCCCAAAGTGCTGGGATTACAGGCTTGAGCCACCGCGCCCGGCCTCTTTTTTTTTTAAGATTTTTTTTTTTAATCATTATACTTTAAGTTCTAGGGTACCTGTGCACAACGTGCAGGTTTGTTACATATGTATACATGTGCCATGTTGGTGTGCTGCACCCATTAACTCCTCATTTACATTAGGTATTTCTCCTAATGCTATCCCTCCCCTATCACCCCACCCCGCGACAGGCCCCGGTGTGTGATGTTCCCCACCCTGTGTCCAAATGTTCTCATTGTTCAATTCCCACCTATGAGTGAGAACGTGCAGTGTTTGGTTTTCTGTCCTTGTGATAGTTTGTTCAGAATGATGGTTCCCAGCTTCATCCATGTCCCTACAAAGGACATGAACTCATCCTTTTTTATGGCTGCATAGTATTCCATGGTGTATATGTGCCACGTTTGTTAAATTCAGTCTATCATTGATGGACATGTGCCTTACATATAGAAGGCACATTTGGGTTGGTTCCAAGTCTTTGCTATTGTGAATAGTGCCACAATAAACATACGTGTGCATGTGTCTTTATAGCAGCATGATTTATAATCCTTTGGGTATATACCCAGTAATGGGATGGCTGGGTCAAATGGTATTTCTAGTTCTAGATCCTTGAGGAATCGCCACACTGTCTTCCACAATGGTTGAACTAGTTTACAGTCCCACCAACAGTGTAAAAGTGTTCCTATTTCTCCACATCCTCTCCAGCACCTGTTGTTTCCTGACTTTTTAATGATTGCCATCCTAACTGGTGTGAGATGGAATCTCATTGTGGTTTTGATTTGCATTTCTCTGATGGCCAGTGATGATGAGCATTTTTTCATGTGTCCATTGGCTGCATAAATGTCTTCTTTTGAGAAGTGTCTGTTCATATCCTTTGCCCACTTTTTGTTGGGGTTTGATGGGGTTGTTTGATTTTTTCTTGTAAATTTGTTTAAGTTCTTTGTAGATTCTAGATATTAGCCCTTTGTCAGATGGGTAGGTTGCAAAAATTTTCTCCCATTCTGTAGGTTGCCTGTTCGCTCTGATGGTGGTTTCTTTTGCTGTGCAGAAGCTCTTTGGTTTAATTAGATCCCATTTGTCTATTTTGGCTTTTGTTGCCATTGCTTTTGGTGTTTTAGACATGAAGTCCTTGCCCATGCCTATGTCCTGAATGGTATTGCCTAGGTTTTGTTCTAGGGTTTTTATGGTTTTAGGTCTAACATTTAAGTCTTTCATCCATCTTGAATTAATTTTTGTATAAGGTGTAAGGAAGGGATCCAGTTTCAGCTTTCTACATATGGCTAGCCAGTTTTCTCAGCACCATTTATTAAATAGGGAATCCTTTCCCCATTTCTTGTTTTTGTCAGGTTTGTCAAAGATCAAATGGTTGTAGACGTGTGGTATTATTTCTGAGTGCTCTATTCTGTTCCATTGGTCTATATCTCTGTTTTGGTGCCAGTACCATGCTGTTTCAGTTACTGTAGCCATATAGTATAGTTTGAAGTCAGGTAGCATGATGCCTCCAGCTTTGTTCTTTTGGCTTAGGATTGTCTTGGCAATGCAGGCTCTTTTTTGGTTCCATATGAACTTTAAAATAGTTTTTCTCCAATTCTGTGAAGAAAGTCATTGGTAGCTTGATGGGGATCGCACCGAATCTTTAAATTACCTTGGGCAGTAGGGCCATTTTCATGATATTGATTCTTCCTATCCATGAGCATGAAATGTTCTTCCATTTGTTTGTGTCCTCATTTATTTTGTTAAGCAGTGGTTTGTAATTCTCCTTGAGGAGGTCCTTCACATCCCTTGTAAGTTGGATTCCCAGGTATTTTATTCTCTTTGTAGCAATTGTGAATGGGAGTTCCCTCATGATTTGGCTCTCTGTCTGTTACTGGTGTATAGGAATGCTTGTGATTTTTGCACATTGATTTTGTATCCTGAGACTTTGCTGAAGTTGCTTATCAGCTTAAGGAGATTTTGGGCTGAGATGATGAGGTTTTCTAAATATACAATCATGTCATCTGCAAACAGGGACAATTTGACTTCCTCTTTTCCTAACTGAATACCCTTTATTTGTTTCTCTTGCCTGATTGCCCTGGCCAGAACTTCCAACACTATGTTGAATAGGAGTGATGAGAGAGGGCATCCCTGTCTTGTGCCAGTTTTCAAAGGGAATGCTTCCAGTTTTTGCCCATTCAATATGATATTGGCTGTGGGTTTTTCATAAATAGCTCTTATTATTTTGAGATACATCACATCAATACCTAGTTTATTGAGAGTTTTTAGCATGAAGGGCTGTTGAATTTTGCCAAGATGTTAATTTCAATATTACGTTATTTAGACTTCATGAGCCTCAAAACCACTCAAGGCAGTTGGCAGAGTAGAATAAGCTTGTCATTGATTAGTTTCCTATGGCTGCTGTAACAAATTATCTCAAATTAGATGGCTTATAACAACAGAAATTTATTCTTTCACACTTCTGGAGGCCAAAAATCTGATATGAGTGCAGTAATGTGCTACATGTTGACATTTTAGTAAACCACAGACCACATATCCTACGGTGGTCTTATAAGATTATAAAGGAGTTGGCTGCGCACAGTGGCTCACGCCTGTAATCCCAACACTTTGGGAGGCCGAGGCGGGCAGATCACCTCAGGTTGGGGGTTTGAGACCATCCTGACCAACATGGTGAAACCCCCATCTCTACTAAAAATACAAAATTAGTCGGGAGTGGTGGCACACACCTGTAATCCCAGGTACTTGGGAGTCTGAGGCAGGAGAATTGCTTGAACCCAGGTGGCAGAGTTTGCAGTGAGCCAAGATCCTCCCATCGCACTCCAGCCTGGGCAACAAGAGCAAAACTCTGTCTCAAAACAAAACAAAATAAACTACCTGCTAAATTCTAATATAAATTGGGGAATTTGTATCTTTGTCTCAGCCTAGCAACATTTAAAATGGAATGGGAACCATTTGAGAAACACATATCGTCCAAATCTTGACATTATTTCAGAACACGGTCTTGCCTCTTCCTCACCTCAACAACCAATCAGCAACAGTGGAATATATATGTGTGTGTGTGTATGTGTGTGTGTATATATATGTATATGTACATATGACAAAAATTATTTCTCTAAACTATTTGATAATGATTTTCAGACATTATATCTTTTTATTCCTAAATACTTCAATGTGTATTTCCTAAGAACAAGGTCAATTTCTTACCACAGCACAATTATCAAATTTAGAGAACTTAACATTGATAAAATAGTATTCTCTAATATACAGTCTATAAAAATTTTAATTGTATCAATAAAATCTTTTATAGGAATTTCTCTCCCAAACTAGGTGCCATTTCAGAATCACATATGAATCTAGTTGTCTTGACTTTTCAGTCTCCTTCACTTTGGAACAGATTCTTAATCTTCTTGTCTTTCATGAATATGTTTTTGAAGAGCATATGCCAGTGGTTTTGTTGAATGTTTCTTAATTTGTGTAGTCATGGTTACATTCAGGTCATGGAAATGTCACAGAAATCATGTTACCCTCTATCACACCAAGAGGCATGTGATGTCAGTTTTTCTCATTATTTATTATTATTATTATTATTTTTTTTGAGATAGAATTTCGCTCTTCTTGCCCAGGCTGGAGTGCAATGGTGTGATCTCGGCTCACCACAGTTTTGTATTTTTAGTAGAGACGGGGTTTCTCCATGTTGGTCAGGCTGGTCTCGAACTCCCAACCTCAGGTGATCCCCCTGCCTCGGCCTCCCAAAGTGCTGGAATTACAGACGTGAGCCACCACGCCCAGCCCAAATGAGGATTTTCTAATTTTATCCTTACTTCCACATTTATCACTTGGCACACAACTGTAAGGAAAATCTTCCCATCTTCCATATTTATGTGTTTAAGTTCCCAAGATTGATAATCACTTATTGTCATCATTAATGCTCAAAATGTGTCAGATTTGGCCATTGAGATCCCTTTCAAGCTGGCTTCTCTGTCCTTTCAAATCATACCCATCAATTCTGAGCACCTACATTCTGGCACAGCAAGATATCTTAGGTTCATCTTGTAGTTTCCCTGGCACAGTCCCGGAGTCAGTGTAGTTGACACCAGTAGCTACTTTCTATCAGTATCGCTGGTTCCTTTTAGTAGGGAGTGGTATTTGAAAATCAATATATAGAATTATCTTTGCTCATTGCATCTGAGGTATCATTTCTTCTAGGCCCAATTAGCAGAGAGATCTGTGGAGAAATTTTACAATTAAGTGTATAATTTCATACTGATGCCTCTAATTCCCATCATCACCAATAGGACTATTCTTTACCTTCCTCCTTTCCCACAGTGAGAGCCTGGTTCCAACAACATACAGGCGCACACATGCTCATTTTTCCAATCCTAAAATTCACACAAAATATCAGAATTGCTATTGCCTTAGCATTACAGAAAATATTCCTGATACATAGAGTTTAAGATATGCTTGCTGTTCTTTTTCTTTTTACAATGAGAACAATGTATAAACCATTTTCTTAGGTCAATTCTTTCCTGAATTTTCAATGTGGTTATGTTATACTTTTGAAATGCTCTATTTGGAAATAGATTTGCTGATCCCAAATCAGGAACAGTGTTTTTCTTTTTACTGTTAACGTACCTTTTCTTGATGTAACCGTGCCTAAGAGAGGGGGCACTTAGATATAGGGAAATCATAAACAGTGGAATTGGAAACACATGGTAATTGTCTTTATGACATAGAGCACATACTCAGATAATGGTGGTCACCAGTTTTCCAAATACACAGGAGGTATGAGGGGGTATAGCTCAGTGGTAGAGAGTGTACTTATCATGCACGAGGTCTTGGGCTGATTCCCCAGTACCTCCAGAGGTCCATTTTCTTCCCTGTGGCACTGTAAGAAGAGCTCCATGACCTTCCCCAGCTGTCCAGAATGTCCTGCCTTGTCAAGATATTTGGGTTGACCTCTACATCTCTCTCTCATACAGAGAGGTAATTCGTGTTCATTCACTTAAGGTTATTTGCTGCTTACGATTATCCACCTATTCTTTCTAAGCAGTCCCAGCAGTCACTAAGGTGAACCACGCACTATGGAAGCAAGTACTACTCCTGGCCCTCCAGCCTATTTCTAGTTGTAAATGAAATAATCAGAAACCATAGAACCACGTGGCGCAAGTCCTTTCCTGTGTGTGGTGTTTGTTTGTTTGTTTGTTTGTTTATTTGTTTGAGACAGAGTTTCACTCTTGTTGCCCAGGCTGGAGTGCAATAGCACAATCTTGGCTCACCACAACCTCTGCCTCCCGGATTCAAGTGATTCTCCTGCCTCAGCCTCCTGAGTAGCTGGGATTACAACCATGCACCACCATGCCTGGCTAATTTTGTATTTTTAGTAGAGATGGGGGTTTCTCCCTGTTGGTCAGGCTAGTCTAGAACTCCCGACCTCAGGTGATCTGCCCACCTCAGACTTCCAAAGTGCTGGGATTACAGGCGTGTGCTACCATGCTTGGCCTTGTATTTCTTCTTCTAACCCAGGTTGCAGAAGCCCTACAAGCTTTCACTAAAAGATTTCACTGCCAGTGGCTGAGGACCTGATGTGCTGGTGGTCACTTTTTCCATTAGAAACCCACAAACTCTAAAACTTAATGTAAACTATTTAACTACAAGAATACAATAAATGGCAAATATAATGACAAATGAGAAAAAGATCACAGTCACTTCAGCTGACATTTGGTAGGGGGAACATATTTCTCTGGGTCCTCTAAGGAAGTTTCTGCCCTGAGATGCAAGCACTCGGAACTCCAGGAACCAAGATCAGTATAGGGTAAAGCTCATTTCTTTGTTTTCCATCAATAAAAATAATGAATGAACTTTTATTCTCCCAATCCCAATGGATCCTTTTCTACCTGCTGCACTTATTCTCCAGGAATAACCTCTTTCTAAGCTACTGAACAACCCACACCTCCAGATTAGAGCTCTTTGCACAGTTTCTGATGCTGGTATCACAGAGCTAAGCAGAATCCACGCGGGGATACTCTGCAAGCATCTCAATACTATCTCGTTAAAAGGAAATCGCCTTCTATTTTCAGCTCTATTTCATTTAAACAAAAGATAAAAAATTAAGTTACTCAACACCCAGAAGGCAGAAAAACGACCTCTCTCTGCATCTGCAGAAGCCAAGCAAGCTAGTGGGGCTTCCGTATGCATCCTTTCTTTTACTCATTTTCCAAACGCTGTAATGGTCCACCACCTACCAGGTGGTCACAAGCCATCGCTAAAGTCAATTTTGAGGTCAACCCACTCAACTTGTGAGGGATTCACCTATATTACCTCTGCACCTGTAATAAGACTAAGAAGACGGTGGCTGCACATGTAGTTAACACCGATTGTACCGCGACTTCGCCTTTCCGCAGCCTTTGTACCAACCTGCAGAGCCCTTTTGAGCCAAGAGCTGGACTTGAGGAGTAAAGAAGCTCATTGTAAACGCCAGGAGGAATTTCTTCAGGGTGAAGTTGACTTCCAATCGGCTTCATTCTAAAGGAAACATGTGGAGCAAACAAACGGGAACTTTCTTTCTCATCTTCTGCATTTCAAGCCTAATAAAATTAGACGTTTCCACTGTCCTGCTCAGTCTCGAAGCTGTCGGCAGATTCCGCTTTTAACTCTCAACACAGACACTCAGGAAATCGGGAAATCCCTGCAGCTCCCTCAGAAGCTATCAGTATCAGCGGTTCCCGAACCCGCAAACAAAAAACGCAACATCACGTGCTCCTCCAAAGAGCCTAGCCTGTCTATCGAGCGATGGAAAGAGCGGCGAGGCGCTCTCGCAGCCGTGGCAGTCTGGACGAAAAGAACCAGGTCCCTTTCCTGGTCTAGCCTACCTCCCTACCTCTCTTCCCTCATATCCAGAAGAAGCGACGGAGAGGTGAGTGCTTAGACTCACTCTAACATCCCGTCCATCCAAATCCTAATAATCTTGAGGATGCTTTTCCTTGTCCTCTACCCCTCTCCCTTTTTATGTTTCTTTCTCCACTTCACCGCACCCCGCCTCTTCCCTCTCTCCGCCAGCTGGCCCTCGGCTCCTCTCCACCTTCCCTCCCGTTTACTTCTGAATGAACTTTTCACAATAGTGCAGTGCACTCCTAGAACCATTTACACACATTCTAAGCACTGTGCTGAGATTTATATGTAGCCACTGTTTTAATTTCCACATCACTTTCCTTTTTTTTTTTTTCCTTCTCTATATGCTCAACTTCAAACGTTTTCTGCAGCATAGGCTGAGGCTGCGTCCAGATGGGGAGAGACGTCAGGCGGCGGGGATAAACCTGGAGGAATGTTGTTTCCTGTCTGGGGAGGTTCGGGCCTTACAAGAGGGAGAGAAAAAAAGAAAAAAGCCTGTAAGAGAATCTAAAATTTTTGAGGAAATTATTCAAAAAATATTTTAATTGACCCTCCCAACAAATTTTGGCTAAAAACAGAAAGCCTGGACTCTCTCGGAATAGGAGACTGAGTTTGAAAACTGTCCAGACATAGGGACGGTTTTATTAAAATTCAATTTGCAAGTCGTTGTTGGCTGTAGCTATTTCCTCATTCCAGAGAGGATTGTTTCTGAAATTCGGTAAACTCTGAAATTGTTTCTAAGTTATTTAACAAGAGGAGTCCAATGTTTTCACACTTTTGAAGTGATATAAGAATTTCTAGGCTGAGGTGGGAGAACGGATTGAGCCGGGAGGCGAAAGTTGCAATGAGAGGAGATTGCCACTGCACTCCAGGCTGGCAGAGTGGGACCCTGTCTCTCTCTCTCTCTCTCTCACTCGCTGGAATCTTCTCTCTCTCTCTCTCTCTCTATATATATATAGAGAGAGATACATGTATATTTTATATTATATATAATATCTATATCAACAATATATTTACATTTTTAATTTATATATATTTCATATTTATATGTGTGTGTGTATATATATATATATATATATATATATATATATATATATATATATATATATAACGTGGTCACACTAAAATAAACATATGCTTGCCTTTTCCACCCCTGGCTCTCTGTACCACCTAAGGTGGATGTGTTAGCACTAGATCAGTAAAAGGAAGGAAACAGAGAAAAAGAATTGGCTCGCTCAGGATTTCTTCAGTCGGAAGCTATAAACCTACTACCAGGTTAACGTGTTCAATAATCTTCTGTTCCTTTTTGCCATGTCATTGAAGAGCAAGACAGAAAACAAAACAAAAAAGAGCCAAAAGGAGAGAAAAGGAAAAGTCTAGATAATTTCATTTTAGTTTTAGATAGTTTCCTTTAGTTTTCTGAGCGGTGTTTCCAAGGTGACCAAGCATGGGAGCATCTATCTTGCTGATTTGACCTATTCCTCGCCTTTTTTTTTTTTTTTTTTTTTTTAGAGACAGAGTCTCGCTGTCGCCCAGGCTGGAGTGCAGTGGCGCGATCTCGGCTCACTGCAGCCTCGAACTCCCTGGTTCAAGCGATTCTCCTGCCTCAGCCTCCGAAGTAGCTGAAACTACAGGCGTGCGCCACCTCTCCTGGCTAATTTTTATATTTCTTGTAAAGAAGGGATTTCACCATGTTGGCCAGGCTGGTCTTGAACTCCTGACCTCAAGTGATCCACCCTCCACGGCTTCGCAAAATGCTGAGATTACAGGCGTGAGCCACCGTGCCCGGCCGTCTCGTCTTTTCTTTCCCGTCTTTTGCCGGGGAAAATTGGATCCTATTTTCATACATAAATTACAGCAGAATTTATATTTTTGGATTGGGGGGAGGTGAGTGAATGACGGGTGATATTGAAGACAACCGAATTAGGCGTTGGAAGATACACTGACCTTACAAATTGCAGTTTTTATAATTTGAAGAAATGACCAACGGGACAGCTCCAGAGTAGCCGAAATAGCTCAGTGGGGAGAGCGTTAGACTGAAGATCTTAAAGGTCCCTGGTTCAATCCCGGGTTTCGGCAGATACCTTTTGGTTGTTGCATAATTGTCTTTCCTTTATACAACACTTGCACACCAATCCCAGAGGTCTATATATAAGTCCCATTTTTTGCTTTTTGAAAATTCCATAAAGGTAATGTATATATATATGTATGTATATTTGTATCACTCTCTCCACTGAAGTCTTCCATGAAGTGTTAACTGATGGTATGTAAATTATTTAAAATCTTAAATCTAGAAAGTTACTAATTTTAAAACCTAAGAAATTCCAATATGCTATAGACTGTGGCAATTACAATTCATTTCTGATTTGATGTTATTTATGTGTGTTGGGCAGGGGTGTTTTAAATCACAAGAACTATGAAGAAACCTGTAGAAGAACTATTATGCTGTATGAGTGTATATATGTGGTAGTGGTATATTCAAGAAACATTTTGCAATTCCAAAAACCTCGGTTTGGCCGGGCGCAGTGGCTCAGGCCTGTAATCCCAGCACTTTGGGAGGCCGAAGCGGGTGGATCACGAGGTCAGGAGATCGAGACCACGGTGAAACCCCCGTCTCTACTAAAAGTACAAAAAAATTAGTGGGGCGCGGTGGCGGGCGCCTGTAGTCTCAGCTACTCAGGAGGCTGAGGCAGGAGAATGGCGTGAACCCGGGAGGCGGAGCTTGCAGTGAGCTGAGATCGCACCACTGCAATCCAGCCTGGGTGACAGAGCGAGACTCCGTCTCAAAAAAAAAAAAAGAAAGAAACACCTCGGTTTGTATCTTGAGTCAACTCCATAGCTCTGCAGTTAAACTGCTGGGAAAATAACTTTCTTTTTTTTGAGACGGAGTCTCGCTCTGTCGCCCAGGCTGTAGTGCAGTGGCACGATCTCGGCTTACTGCAAGCGCCGCCTCCCGGGTCCACGCCATTCTCCTGCCTCAGGCTCCCGAGTAGCTGGGACTACAGGCGCCCACCACCACGCCCAGCTAATTTTTTGTATTTTTAGTAGAGACGGGGTTTCACCATGTTAGCTGGGATGGTCTCGATCTACTGACCTCGTGATCCACCCACCTCGGCCTCCCAAAGTGCTGGGATTACAGTGTGAACCACCGCGCCCGGCCCTGTTTTGTTTTTTTGAGGCAGGGTCTCACTCTGTCACCCATGCTGGAGTGCAGTGGTATGATCACAGCTCACTGCAGCCTCAGCCTCCCTGGACTCAAGCGATCCTCCCATGTCAGCCTCCTGGGTAGCTGAGACTACAGAAATGCAACAACAAGCCTGGCTTTCTCTCTCTCTCTTTTGTACTTTTTTTTTGTAGAAACTGGGTTTCACCATGTTCCCCCAGCTGTTCTTGAAATCCTGGGCTCAAGCAACCTGCCCGCTTCTGCCTCCCTACGTGCTGGGATTACAGGTGGGAACCACCGCACCAGTCCTAATTACAGGAATATTTTTAAGTTTCTTACTGACAGGACATTTCTTTAGCCTGGAAACCTTGCCTAGAATTTCCAAATCTTAAGTTATTTCCTCATTGGTATCCAGGAAAGAACAAAAATAAGTCTTTCTTTCTTTTTTCTTTTTTTTTTTTTTTTTGAGACAGAATCTTGCTATGTTACCCATGCTAGAGTGCAGTGGAACGATCTCAGCTCACTGCAACCTCCGCCTCCCCGGCACAAGCAATTCTCCTGCTGCAGCCTCCCAAGCAGCTGGGATTACAGGCGTCCACCACCATGCCTGACTAATTTTTGTATTTTTAGTAAAGACGGGATTTCACCATGTTGGCCAGCCTGGTCTCCAACTCCTGACCTCGTGATCTACCTGCCTCGGCCTCCCAAAGTGCTGGGATTATAGATGTGAGCCACTGCGTCCAGTCAAAAATAAGTATTTCTAAATTAATTATTCTGTCAAGACTCAGGTGGATGTGCCCCATTTTCCTTTTTTTTACTTCAACTCCTCTCTTGAAATTTTGTGTTGGGATAATGGGCCTTTTTTGTCCTGTTTTTTTTTTTTTTTGTCTGATTTTTTTTGGTCATTTTTAATATCTTTTCTTCTTTCAAATTGGTGTTTCATTTTCAGTGTTATTTTCCCCTAACACCTGCATACTGTGTGAGGAGACAATAAACTACAGTACTCCAACATCAGAACTGCATCAAATTGTGAAAGGAAAATTGGTACCAAATGAGAGACCAACCTCAGGGTGGGGACATTGACTGTACAGGAACTAGGAATCAGATACTTTACCCTTTAAGTCACTGAGGCTTTCTCAACTCAGAAGCCTGTGTTTTATTTCATTAAGAAATATTTGATAGGCTGGGCGTGGTGGCTCACGCCTGTAATCTCAGCACTTTGGGAGGCTGAGGCGGGTAGATCACCTGAGATCAGAAGTTTAAGACCTGCCTGGCCAACATGGTGATACCCTGTCACTACTAAAAATACAAAATAATAATAATAACAATAATAATAATAATAATAATAAATTAGCTGGGTGTGGTGGTGGATGCCTGTAATCCCAGCTACTCGAGAGGCTGAGGCAGGAGAATCCCTTGAACCCGGGAAGCGGAGGTTGCAGTGAGCCAAGATCGCAACATTGCACTCCACCCTAGGCAACAAGAGCAAGACTCTGTCTTAAAAAAAGAAAAAAAAAAGGAAACATTTGATTAGACAAATGGCAGGATTGAATGTTTTCTTGCCTAGCACAGTAGTGATTCCTTTACATTTTGTTGAAATGAAACGCCTAGGGTAATTCTAAGCATGATTCGTCTCTCATTCAATACCTTAAAAATGAGGCTAATAATGATTATGTAAAATGGGATGTTGCAAAGGTCTAAGGAGATCATGCATGGAAATGCATTTAGTCAAGTCCACTCGCGGCATGAAACCTAATTACTGGCAGACCATGCTCCATGTCCTTTGGCTCTGGGATTCTCCCAGAACAGCACCTAAATAGATAACATCGTCTCTAGACAATGCTGTCCAATCAAAAGATACTACAAGTCTTCTGCTTTAGCTTCTGGGATAAAAAGAATTTTTAAAAAAGTTAATACAAATCTTAAATGAGAGCCACTTCTGTAGTTTTAAATTTTCTAGTAGTCACATTTAAAAAATAAACAGGCAATACTTATTTTATATAATTTTTTAACAATTTCAACTTTTAGATAGGCAAGGTGGGTCATACCTGTAATCCCAGCCCTTTGGGAGGCCGAGGTGCGCGGAACACCTGAGGTCAGGGGTTCAAGACCAACCTGACCAATATGGTGAAACCCTGTCTCTAATAAAAATACAAAAATTAGCTGGGTGTGGTGGTGCATGCCTGTAATTTCAGCTACTTGGGAGTCTGAGATAGGAGAATCACTTGAAACCTGGAGGAGGAGTTTGCAGTGAGCCCAGATAGCGCCACTGTACTCTAGCCTGAGAGACAGAGCAAGACTCTGTCTCAAAATAATAATACTAATAATAATAATTTCAACTTTTATTTTAGATTCAGGGGGTACATGTCCAGGTTTGTTACATGGGTATAGTGCATGATGCTGGGGTTGGGGTGAGATTAATCCCATCACCTGGGTGGTGAACATAGTATCCAATAGTTAGCTTTTCAAGCCTTTCCCCTTCTCGCCTCCCCCTCTAGTAGTCCCCAGTGTCTATTGTTTCCATCTTTTATGTCCAGTTTTACTAATATATGTAAATCACCTTGCATGTCCAAAATATTATTTTAACAAGTAATCAATCTTAAAATTATCAGTGAGACATTTTATGTTTAAAAAATGATATTACATCTGGCCAGGTGCGGCGGCCCATGCCTGTAATCCCAGCACTTTGGGAGGCCGAGGAGGGCAGATGACAAGGTCAGGAGTTTGGGACCAGCCTGGCCAGCATGGTGAAACCCTGTCTCTACTAAAAAAAAAAAAAAAGAAAAAGAAAAATTGCCAGGCATGGTGGTGCGCGCCTGTAGTCCCAGTTACTCAGGAGGCTGAGGCAGGAGAATGGATTGAACCCAACAGGTGGAGGTTGCTGTGAGCCAAGATTGCACCACTGCACTCCAGGTTAGGTGGCAGAGCGAGACTCCATGAAAAAAAAATTACATCTTTGAAATCTGGTATATATTTCTCACTTTCAACACATCTTAACTTAGACTAGGCAATTTTCAGTACTCAATACCCAATGTGGCTAATGGTAACCATATTGGACAGTGCAGATTTAAACATATACTTTATATATTTTTAGGTTTTCGAAATTGAGTGTGTATGACAGGGTGTTCTGTCTTCAAAATTAAATGTTTAATTTCTCAGAAGAATGCTATGTTAAATGAGCTCATCCTACAGATTTCACACAAAAAACATGTTTCAATCGTGTTGCTGGTAGATAGTCTGAAGATAGCTACAGATATTTAATTATTTAAAATTCTCCCATTTTTATGAGGCAACCTTCTTATTATGAATTCCCAAGAATCCAATAGACAGCCAAGTTTCTCTGGGTGTAACACAACATAAAGATGAAGGAGAGTTTCTGCAAACTGTCCTAATATTGCTTTTACAGCATCAAAGAGCCAAGATAATCCTTCCCATCATTTACATGCACACACACAGACACAGTCAGGCAGGCAAACACACATGAATACACATCAATTTTGTCTATAACAATTCTCTAGTTTCTCCTTCAGTGAAGTCTATCACTCAGTGTTTCCTATTTTTATTCTAGAAATCCCATCAGCCAACTGAAAAGCCAAGTCTGACATACAACTTGCAATTTGGCAATTTTGAAAGCCATCAATGTTACTTTATTAACATTGGCAAAGGCTCTTATATAGGCAAACCAGAATGAGAAAGAGTTAATAGTCACTAGAAATTTGGTGCTGAGAAATAGGTTTTCTTCTCATCTTCTTATGTAATTCAAAGGACACACGATAAGTCCCAAGATTCAAGAACTTTTGAATTCAAGAACAAACAAACTTGTTTGTTCACTACAAATATCACGAATAGGTTTGTAATTTCCATATCTCAAAGTACACTTTTTTAGTCTTTATCCATCCTCCATGTAATGTGTCTACTACTATTAATGCTTACAAATCCCAGGCTAGAGACAGAGTTAATTGCCTGAATTCTCTGAGAAACATCCTCACAAGTGTGCCCCACAGATACTTTAAATTGAGTATGAGCCAAACTAACTCATCTTCTCCATCTTCCAGTCTATCTCTCATTCCTAAAAGAGCTGTTAAAACCTCTCCCCTTTTCTGCACCTGCTGTGTTTGTTTTTCTAAAGCATTCTTCAACCCTGTTTGTATTTATCTTCGGTCTTATTCTCATAATTCAACCCTTCTCTCCATCCCCATAGCTGTTTTTCATTCACGCCTTATGAATCCCTTCCCCTCCCCTCCCCTCTTCTCCCCTCGTCTCCCCTCTTCTCCCCCTTTCCCTCCCCTCCCCTTCCCTTCTCTCTCTGTTGCCCAGGCTGGAGGACAGTGGCACAGTCATAGCTCCCTACAACAACTAACTCCCGAGCTCAAGCGATCCTCGTGCCTCAGCCTCTAGAGTAGCTGGGAGTACAGGCGTAAGACACCACGCCAGCTAAGGACCCTTATGAAAAAATGCTAAGTGCATCGCTGTCAGGTTTTCTTCTGATTGTGGCTTTCCTCCATCAAATCTTATCTTTAATATTCCGATTGAGCAAACAACAATTATGAAGCGTTTTAGGCAGGAAAAGGCTGAATTTCAATGGCTTTGTGTCGTATCTGGGAGAAATTAAAAGAAACGAAAACCTGAACTTGATTCTTGCCAAGCATAATAGAAGGAGACCCTAAGAACTCAACGTCTTGAGGCCACAATGGAAACTTCTTGTGGTTATTATCTGACACTTTTCTAATCTTTCGTTTTTCGTTTCAAGTCCTACACAGTATTCTAAAGAATCTGTATCCCCCATTAGTACCAAGTATCTCCTGCTCAGAACAGCTCTCCGCACTCCATAATACTGACCACTACTACCAGCATGCTCACGGAGTCTCAGGAAATGAAAGTTACCTCCTGAAAATTATTACAAAGAGACCTTATAGTGAGGGGGTGTAGCTCAGTGGTAGAGCGCATGCTTTGCATGTATGAGGCCTCGGGTTCGATCCCCGACACCTCCAAGCGATGGTTTTGCTCTGGTAGTTTTCAAGCGACAGACTTCTGCCTCCTCACGTTTTTCTATCCTATTTCTGCACATATAGACAGTAAAAGTGTAGCCCAATGTTCAGCCTTGAACTATCTCCACTGGTTATGCTGTGAACCTCGACATCACCAAAGGCGATTGCCACAGCAGAAGGGAGACAAACAAGAAATGAGGGGGAAAGAAGAACGGGATCGCAACACGGTCTCTTGAACCCAAACAAAAGCGTGCACATTCACAGGCGGCTCGCTTTCACTCCCATTTTGTACTATGATTAATGAGACGCAAAGACAAAGGAGAAGGGAGAAAAGCGCCCTGAAGGCATCTATTTTTTTTTAAGTTATTTTTGTTTTCTGGGCCAAAGAACAGAGCGAAAGCCTCTGTTCACTGATTTCTCCACCAGTCTCTCCCTGTCTACCTGCGCGGAGAACACAGCTACCAGTGTGATCCAGTACTGAGACAAGGGCTGTGGCTCTCCAGTCGCTTGAGATGGGAGTGGCAGGGCGCTGGATAACCACACGAAGACTGTCGGGGAATTAGAGGCCTTCAACGTGCGAGAAGCAGAAACCAATACGGATCAACATTCCCTACTGATGTTCCATAAGACTGATTTGTATTCCTGTATTTCCTCAGTCACTCCATTTTCCTCTTTACAATAAAATATTGCCTGGGAACTTCTGGTAAGAGCAAACGGAGGCCCCATATGAAAAACTAGGAAAAGGTTTTCTGTCACAATGCAAAATACATGCAGACTAAAAGATAAGTAGATCGCAGGTGTGTTGGGCACTTCCTGCCTTGGGAAAAAACAAACAAACATTTCATGTTCTTTCTCGATCCACCTGATTACATCGCTTTTTTTGGAGAGGGAACTCCCAAGAAATCCTATGCACTCATGAAACCTTTTATGGTTTCCAACGGTGTATGGTTTCAAAACTGCTGTTCTCTCTGTACATATTTCCTATTGAATTAAAGTGTCTTTGAGAGGCAAGAGAGTATGATGTTTGTTCCTAGTCCACCAGCCTATCAGGCTGGCATGATAGATACACTCTATGAGGCTAACATGACCTTACTTGATTCTTTTGTCCAGTGAGAATATCTATAACCAGCATCCAGGAGGGATACTGTCTGATGAAACCTGCTTAGCTGAGGACTGGCTGTGTGTGTGCCTCCAGACCAATCATATGTTTGTTTTGAGACACATTTTTTGGAGGAAGGTAATACACACATGCCATGTATTTTCTTTTTGTTTCATACTTTTTCTTCTTTAATTTCCTGGTATCCATTGGTTCTCTCCAGGCAAACAGTGGCATGTTAGCCACAGTGGACACTGCATAGGAGAGCAAGGGGTGGAGGATTAGGGTGCTGCAATCAGAATAATAAATTTCAGGCCCAACCTTAGGTCTATTGAATCAGAACTGCTGAGTATGGATGGGGCTCAGCCTCCTGTGTTTGAATAAGCCTTCAAGTGACTCTGATGCTAAAGTTTGTGAAGCACTGCTCTAGAAGTTTCAGGAAGTCCCAGGGTCAGGCACCTGCTGAGGAGGAAGAGTTGGTCCTGGGGTTCCCTGCCTATTCTCAATCAAAAACACAAACCTAGGAAAGCCAGTGAGGTTTGTATTCGTCTTATGTCAGGGATGGGGTTGAATTTACCATTTCTTTGACCCTTTGAATATTTATGCAACTTTTCAGGTCACACACAACAGACTGATTTTCCTGTGGAGGAACTCACAGGAATTCTCTTGAACCAGGAGACTCTTTTGAGCTGAAATACCTGGAGCTCTCTCAAGCTATTTGGGCCTTGCAATTTGAAACCCAGGCTTGGACGATTCTAAGCCCTGTGGCAGAGAGTAATCATTTTCTCTCCACCCTCAGGGTGAGGACTCATCCTCAGGGTTGGGAGTGACTGCTGTCTCTCCAGCCCCCACCAAGTCTACCAATGTTCTGGTTGTTAAAATCCAGCATATGCATGAAATGTAATAAAAGTATCTTTGCAGCAGTAAGTAGAGAGTTCCTCGTTGTGAGCAGACCATTCCTCTTCCTCCTTGGAAAAAATTCTGTATCCACTTTCTACATTTTCACGTTTGTCTCTTCCTCTACACACACCTCAGCTGCTGCTTTATTTACACTTGTCTCATGTAAGGATCTTCTTTTATGTGGTAACCTTGGCTTTTCCCACTGTTCTTGCTTCCACGAGTTGGATGCAGGCAATATAGGAGCCGACTGCAAAATGTAGGTGATATTGTCCAGAAAGAAACCCGAATTTCAGAGGCTTGCTGATGTGGAAGAAAGCCAAGATATTAGACTCATAGAGCTTCACTCTGCTAGGTAGGTTGAAATCTGGACACCCTGAATTCCATAAAAACAAGGTAGTACTCCTTCTGAAAACCCTCGTAAGTTTAAAATATACTGGGACTGCCTTACCTTTCTTGTTTTTCATGCCTTGTATTCCAAGCTTGACAAGCTATAACAAAAACAAAAGCAAAGAACACTCTTCCTATCTATAACAAAGGACCCTATGCTTCAGCGGGAGGGTCTCTCTTCCCGGTTAAACACTCTCCCCCTCGCTAACAGTAGGGATTGGAAATAGGCGGCTTCTCTGTCGTTTCCTTGGAAGCCACTAATACCACCCGCCTGTACCAAAACTCAAGGGTACCCGTTCTCCCCAGTGCCCCAGCCAGTAAAGGAGCTGCGAGGCGTTCTCAACGCCGCGACTGCCTTGAGCAAAACGAGGGAGATCTTGCGAGGAAAGTGTTTTCAGCTCACTTCTCCAACAGGGAATGAGCCCTCTCGCTTATCGCGGACAGCGAGGAAAAGCAGCGGAGATGGGCTTCCGGGCTGCACTCCGCCTTCCGGCCCACCCAGATCCTCTGGCAGCCTCGGGCGCTCGCCCACTTCGCTTCTCCTCCGCCTTTGCCGCCGCCGCCGCAGGTGCGCACCCCACCGCGTCCCTGCTTCCCTCTCGAACTCTTTTCGAAGGTGGTCCTCGTTCTCCTCTCCATCCATCGTTTCTTGAGTGTCAGAACTGGAGCCATAGCGTCCCCAAGACGAAATCCATGCTGGGTTTCGCGACCATGGTGCTGGCCCAGGCGCTGGCAGGGTAAGGACGGGCAGCGACCCACGCTCCTGGGTCTTCGTTTCTAAGAGCTGGGAATTCCACTTTCTCACCTCCTCACCTGCACCTAAATCCCCCGAGACGGTACTGACCCTTCTGTTTTAGTATCCATCTACGTTACTCTTGATAGAAGAGTACAGCCCTTGAAGGAAGAGGGAAAAGAAATTTGAGAAGGGAGAATTTAGAAAAACCTTTTTAGTTTGAAATTATTTCAAACCTACAGAAAAGTTGCAAAAATGATACAAAGAACTGCCACACACAAGTTACTCATATTTACCAATTCCCGATATTTTGCCACAATGATTCTCCTCTCTCTTTACGGCTAAACACACACACACACTATTATTTTTCTCATGTACTTTATTATTTATTTATTTATTGAGACAGGTCTTGCCCTGTCGTCCAGGCTGGAGTGCAGTGGTGCGATCTCGGCTCACTGCAACCTCCGCCTCCCGGGTTCATGCGATTCTCCTACCTCTGCTTCCCAAGTAGTTGGGATTAGAGGCATGAGCCACCATGCCAGGCCATTTTTTGTATTTTTAGTAGAGACGGGACTTCACCATGTTGGCCAGGCGGGTCTGGAACTCCTAACCTCTGGTGATCCGCCCGCCTCGGTCTCCCAAAGTGCTGGGTTTACAGGCGTGAGCCACCCCGGAGCTTCTGTGTTCTTTTAAATCATCCCCATCATTCTGGCACAGCAAGATATTTTAGGTTCATCTTGTAGTTTCCCTGGCACAGTCCTGGAGTCAGTGTAGTTGACACTAGTAGCTACTTTCTATTAGTATCTCTGGTTCCTTTTAGTAGAGAATGGTATTTGAAAATCAAAATATAGAGTCATCTTGCTCATTGTTTCTAAGGTATTTCTTCCAGGCTCAGTTAGCAGACAGATCTGTAGGGAAAATGTACTATTTTTATTTTTTGAGACAGAGTCTTAGTCGCCCAGGCTGGAGTGCGGTGGTGCGATCTTGGCTCGCTGCAACGTCCGCCTCCCGAATTCAAGCGATTATCCTGCCTCAGCCTCCCGAATAGCTGGGACTACAGGGGCGGCCACCACACCCGTCAAATTTTTGTATTTTTAGGAGAAACGGCGTTTTGCCATGTTGGCCAGGCTGTTCTCGATTTCTGACCTGAAGCGATCCACACGTCTCAACCTCCCAAAGTGCTGAGACTACAAGCGTGAGCCACCGCGCCCGGCCTATACAATTACATATGTATAATTTCATACTGATGCCTCCAATTCCCATCAACACCAACAGGACTATTCTTTACCTGCTTTCTCTTACAGTGACAGCCTGTTTCCAACAACACACGCGCTCACACACACTCATTTTCCCAATCCTAAAATTCACACAAAATCTCAGAATTCCTGCAGCCTTAGCTCTAAAAAAAAAACCCTCATACATAGAGTTTAAGATTTGTTTCCTCTTCTTTTTGTACTTACAATTAGAACAACGAACTTTGTCAAGCATTTTCTTAAATCAGTTATTTCAATGGGGTTATGTTATTCTTTCACAATGCAGTTTTAATTTGCCTCTATTTGTGTTGAATTTTAGGGTATTTTCACACACACTTGAGTCAGTTTTATTTTTTGACCATGTGAGACTAACACGCTTCCAAGAGTCAAAAGAATACAGAACATTATAATCAGAAAATTTGCAAGAGAATGTTGTATGCCAGGACACACTCAAATGATTGAATGCAAGTATGCTCCAGGAAATCTAACGCGATGGGGAGCCCACCGTGGGGTGAGTTGATCTTGGACTGACCACAAATCAGGAACAGTGCCTTTATTTGTACTATTAAGCTACCTTTCTTTTGGTGTAGCAGGGCCTAAGAGAGGAAACACTTCCTGTAGGAAATTGAGAGTGGAATTGAAAACATAAAGATTATCATGACACAGAGCCCAGACTCAGACAATAATAGTCATCAAAATATTCTCTAAAAGGCAAGTCTTCCAGAGGGGGTATAGCTCAGCGGTAGAGCGCGTGCTTAGCATGCACGAGGTCCTGGGTTCAATCCCCAATACCTCCAGGTTTTGTTTTCTTCCCCGGGCACTAGTGAGAAGCGGTCCATGATATTCCCCAACTTTAAATTTTTCTGTCTGTCAAGGTGAATTGTGTTGGCCTCTGCATTTCTCTCTCATACACAGAGGTGACTCGTGTTTATTCCTTTGAATCTATTTGCTGCTTAGGATTATCCACTTATATTTTCTAAGCAGTCCACCAATCACTAACATGAACCACGCACGAGGGAAGCAAGCAGTATTCCTGGCCATGCAACCAATTTCTAGTTGTAAATGAAATCATCAGAAACCATAGAACTGTGTGGCCCAAGTCTGATTTCAGATCAGAAGCTAAAAAGGCTCACGTCCTTTTCTGTTTCTTCTTCTAACTCCCTCTAACCAGGTTGAGAAGCCCTACAAGCTTTCACTAAAAGATTACACTGCCGGTGGTTGATGATTTGATGTGCTGGTGGTCACTTTTTCCATTAGAGACCCACATAGTTTGAAACTTAAACTATTTAACTACAAACACAAGGCAAATGATGAAAAGATAGCAGTCACCTCAGCTGAAATTTGGTGGAAGTAAAAAGTACTTCTCTGGGTCCTCAAGGAAGTTTCTGGTCTGAGATGCAAATACTCTGAACTCCAGGAAACAAGATCAGTATAGGAGAAAGCTCATTTTGTTGTTTTTCATAAATAAAAGTAATGAACGTTTATTCTCCCAAGCCCAACGGATCCTTTTCTACCTGATTGTACTTACTCTCCAGAAATAACCTCCTTCTAAGCTAGGGAACAACCCATACCTCCAGATTAGAGAGCTCTTTGTAGAGTTTCTGATTCTGGTATTACAGTACTAAGCAGAAATCCACAGGGAAATACTCTGCAAGCATGTTAATACTAACTTGTTAAAAGAAAATCTGCTTTTATTTTCATCTTTATTTCATGCCAACAAAGCAAAAAAAAAAATAAGTTACTAAACACCCAGAAGGCAGAAAAGTGACCTCTATCCATCTGCAGGAGCCAAGCAAGCGTGTGGGCTTCCGTATGCATCCTTTCTTTTACTCACTTTCTAAATGCTGTAACGGTCCACCATCTACCAGGTGGTCACAAGTCATCGCTAAACTCAATCTGAGGTCAGCCCACACGACTTGTGAGTGGTTCACTTATATTGCCTCTGCACCTGTAACAGGACTAAGAAGACGGTGGCTGCACACGTAGTTAACACCGATTGTACCTCGACTTCGCCTTTCTGCAACAGCTGTGACGCTCTGCAGGTCCTGAGCCAAGAGCTGGACGTTAGGAGTAAAGGAGCTCGTTGCAAACGCCAGGAAGAGTTTCTTTAGGGTGAAGTTGGCTTTCGATTGGCTTTATTCTAGGAGATATATATGGAGCAAAGAAACGGTAACTTTTTCTCATCTTTTGCATTTTAAGCAAAAACTAATAAAATTAGATGTTTCCGCCGTCATGCTCAGTCTCTTAGCTGCCGGCAGATCCCGCTTCTAACTCTCAACACGGGCACTTAGGAAGCCAGGCAATCCCTGAAGCTCCCTCAGAAGCTACGGTATCAGCGGTTCCTGAGGCGCAAACCAAAACCCAACATCACTCCAAAGAGCTCAGCCCGTCTGTCGAGCGACGGAAATAGCGGAGAGGCGCTCTTGAAGCCGTGACAGCCTGGGCGAAACGAACCAGGTCTCCTTCCTGGTCCAGCCTACCTCCCTAGGGACACCTCTCTTCCCTCACGGCCAGAGGAAGCGACGGAGAGATGTGGCGCTTAGATTCACTCTACGGTCCCGTCCATCCAAGTCCGAATCATCTTAAGGATGCTTTTCCTTGCCCTCTATCTCTCTCCCATTTGTGTTTTTCTTCCTCCACTTCACGGCACCCCTCCTTTTCCCTCTCTCCGCCAGCTGGCGCTCAGCTCCTCTCCACCTTCCCTCCCATTTACTTCTGAATGAACTTTTCACAATAGTGCAGCGCAGTCCTAGAACCATTTACACACATTTTAAGCACTGTGTTGAGATTTATATGTAGCTGCTGTTTTAATTTCCGCATCACGTTCCATTTTTTTCCTCTCTGTATGTTCAACTTTTAACATTTCTGCAGCATAGGCTGAGGCTGCGCCCAGCTGGGGAGAGACGTGAGGCGGAGGGGATAAACCCAGAGGAATGTTGTTTCCTGTCTGAGAAGGCTCGGACCTTACAAGCGGGAGGACAAGACAAAGACTGAAAGCGAACATAATTTTATAAATTTTATTTATTTAATTTTTAGGAAATCATCTAATCATCCAGAAACAATTTTTTGGGGGGGAAACGAAGTTTCGCTCTTGTTGCCCAGGCTGGAGCGCAGTGGTGCGATCTCGGGTCACTGCAACCTCTGCTTCCCGGGTTCAAGCGATTCTCCTGCCTCAGCCTCCTGAGTAGCTGGGATTATAGGCGCCCGCCACCATGCCTGGCTAATTTATGTGCATTTAGTAGAGACGGGGTTTCACCATGTTGACTAGGCTGGTCTCGAACTTCTGACCTCAGGTGATCCACCCGCCTCTGCCTCCCAAAGTGCTGGGATTACAGGCGTGAGCCACCACTCCTGGCTTCAAGAACAATTTCTTATCGACCCTTCCATCAAATTTTGGCTAAAACTGAAAGCCTTGACTCTTTCAGAATAGGAGACTCAGTTTGAAAACTGTCCAGACATAGAGAGGGTTTTATTAAAATTCAGTTTGCAAGTAATTATTGGCCATAGCAATTCCCTCATTCCAGAGAGAACTGTTTCTGAAATTCTGTAAACGTCTTAAATTGTTCTTAAGTTATTTATCAAGAGGAGTCCAATGTCTTGACACTTTTGAATTGATATAAAACTTCTAGGCTGAGGTGGAAGAACTGATTGAGCCAGGAGGTGAAAGTTGCAGTGAGAGGAGATTGCCACTGCACTCCAGTCTGGCAGAGTGGGACACTGTCAAAATAAAAATAAATAAATACAATCTCATGATTACAGATGTGTATGTAAAAAGCAATTTTTTTTTTTTTTTTTGAGATGGAGTCTTGCTCTGTCACCCAGGCTGGAGTGTAGTGGTGTGATCTCGGCTCACTGCAACCTCTGCCTCCTGGGTTCAAGAGATTCTGTAGCTGGGACTACAGGGGCGCGCCTCGACGCGGGGCTAATTTTTGTGTTTTCAGTAGAGACAACATGGGGTTTCACTATGTTGGACAGGCTGGTCTCCAACTCCTGACCTCAGGCGATCTGCTCGCCTTGGCCTCCCAAAGTGCTGGGATTACAGGCGTGAGCCACTGCACCCAGCTGGAAAAAAAAAAACAATTCTTATGCATCAATGTGCAGACCACAATTCTCTGAACTCCAAGGAATAGGCCGGGAACGGTGGCTCAAGCCTGTAATCCTAGCACTTTGGGAGGCCGAGGCGAGACCAGACTGATCAACATGGTGAAACTTCGTCTCTACTAATAATACAAAAAAATTAGCTGGGCGTGGTGGGGCGCGCCTGTAATCCCACCTACTGGAAGAGACTGAGTCAGGAGAATCGCTTGAACCTGAAAGACGGAGGTTGCACTAAGTCCAGATCGTGCCACTGCACTCCAGCCTGGGAGACAGAGCGGGACTCCATCTCAAAACAAAGAAACAAAGAAACAAACAAACAAACATATTATACTTTCCATTTTCACTCCCTGGGTCTCCGTACCACCCAAGGTGGATGTGTGAGCACAAGACTGGTAAAAGGAAGAAAATAGAAAAAAAGAACTACCTCGCTCAGGATGTCTTTTTTCGGAAGCTATAAGCCCACTACCGTGTTAAAGTGTCCACTAATCTTCTGTTCCTTTATGACATGCCATTGAAGAGCAAGCCAGAAAAAGAAAATCCGAAAAAAGAGAAAAGGAAATGCCTACATAATTTCATTTTGAATTCCTTAGTTTTCTGAGCAGTGTTTTATACGGTGACCAAGCATGGGAGTATCTTCCTCATTTGACCTATTCCTCGCCTTTTCTTTCCCATCTTTTGCTGGGGAAAATTGGATCCTATTTCACACATAAATTGCAGCAGAACTTATATTTCTTGGGTGGAGGGGAGGTGAGTGAATGACGGGTGATATTGAAGACAACAGAATTAGGCGTTGGAAGATACACTGACCCTACAAATGGCAGTTTCTGTATTTTGAAGAAATGACAAAAGCAGTAGGATCACGGTGGCCGAGATAGCTCAGTTGGGAGAGCGTTAGACTGAAGATCTAAAGGTCCCTGGTTCAATCCCGGGTTTCGGCAGTTGCATTTTGGTTTTAGCATAATTGTCACTCCTTCAACACAGCGCTTGCGCACCAATCCCAGAGGTCTATATATAACTCCAGGTGTTTGTGGTTTTTTTGTTTCTTTTTTCTTTTTTCTTTTTTTTGGCTGTTTTCTGAAAATTCCATAAAGGTAATGTATACACACACACACACACACACACACACACACACACATCTATATATATATATTTACACACAAACACATATATATATATATATTTGTAACACTCTCTCCACTGAAGACTTCCATGAAGTGTTAACTGACAGGACGTAAATTATTTAAAGTCTTAAACCTAGCAAGTTATTACTTTTAAAACCTAAGAAATTCCAATATGCTATATGCTGTGGCACTTACAATTCATTTCTGATCTGATGTTATTTATGTGTGTTGGGCGGGGGTGTTTTTAAATCACAAGAAATGTGAAGAAACCTGTAGAAGAAGAACTATTATACTGTATGAGTGTATATATGTGGTGGTGGTATATTCAAGAAACATTTTGCAATTAGAAAAAACCGGGTTTGTACCTTGAGTCAACTCCATAGCTCCGCAGTTAAACTGCTGGAAAAATAACTTTTGCTTTGTTTTGTTTTTCTGAGGCAGGGTCTCACTCTGTCACCCATGCTGGAATGCAGTGGTATGATCACAGCTCACTGCAGCCTCAGCCTCCCTGGACTCAAGCGATCCTCCTATGTCAACCTCCTGAGTAGCTGAGACTACAGAAATGCAACAACAAGCCTGGCTTTTTGTTTGTTTGTTTGTTTTTTGGTTTTGTTTTTTTTTTAATTTTTTTGGTAGAGACTGGGTTTCACCATGTTGCCCTGGCTCTTCTGGAAATCCTGGCTCACCTCTGCCTCTCACCATGCTGGGATTACAGGCTTGAGCCACCACACCAGGCCTAATTACAGGAATATTCTAAGTTTTCTTACTGACAGGAAGCCTGGCACCCTTGTCCAGAATTTCCAAATCTTAACTAATTTCTGTGTTGGAATCCAGGAAAGAACAAAAACAAGTACTTGTATATGAATTATTCTGTCAGACATTCATGAGGGGCCTTAGAATACTGAAAATGAAAGCAAATGGGCAGCAAAGTCATCAAGATTCAGGTGCATGTGCCTCATTTTCCCTTTTCCACTTCAACTTCTCTGTTGAAATACTGTGTTGGGGGTAATGGGTCTTTTTTTTCCCTCCTTTTTTCTTTCAAATTGCTGTTTCATTTTGAGAGTTATTTTCCCCTAACTCCTGCATACTGTGTGAGGAGACTAAACAATCTACAGTACTTCAACATCAGAACTGCAGCAAGTTGAAAAAGGAAAATTAGTACCAAATGAGAAGAAACCTCAGGGTGAGGACACTGACTCTACAGAAACTGTAAATCAGATACTTTATCCTTTAGGTCACTGAGGCTTTCTCAACTCAGAAGCTTGTGTTTCATTTCATTAAGAAATATTTGATTAGTCAAATGGTAGCACTGAATGTTTTCTTGCCTAACACGGTAATGATTCCTTTACATTCTGTTGAAAGGGAAGGTCTAGGGTAATTCCAAGCATGATTTGTCTTCTATTCAATAGCTTAAAAATGTAGCTAATAATAATTATGTTAAATTGGATGTTGTAAAGATCTAAGGAGATTATGCATAGAAATGCATTCTGTCGAGAACACTCAAGGCATGAAACTTAATTACTGGGAGACCATGCTCCATGTTCTCTGGCTCTGGGAATCTCCCAGAACAGCATTTAAAGAGATAACATCATCTCTAGACAATGCTGTCCAATTAAAAGATAATACAAGTCTTCTACTTTATCTTCCGGAATAAAAATAATTAAAAAAACACAAGTCATAAATGCGAGTCACTTTTGTAGTTCTAAATTTTCTAGTAGTCACATTAAAAAAAACAGGCAATATTTATTCTATATCTTTTTTTTTTTTTTTTTTTTTTTTTTTTGTAGATGGAGTTTCGCTCTTGTTGCCCAGGCTGGAGTGCAATGGCGCGATCTCGGCTCACCGCAACCTCTGCCTCCAGGGTTCAAGCGATTCTCCTGCCGCCTCAGCTTCCCGAGTAGCTGGGATTACAGGCACGCGCCACCACCCCAGCTAATTTTTTTTTTGTGTGTGTGACGGAGTCTCGCTCTGTCGCCCAGGCTGGAGTGCAGTGGCGCGCGCTGCAAGCTCCGCCTCCCGGGTTCACGCCATTCTCCTGCCTCAGCCTCCCGAGTAGCTGGGACTACAGGCGCCTGCCACCACGCCTGGCTAATTTTTTGTATTTTTTAGTAGAATTGGGGTTTCACCGTGTTAACCAGGATGGTCTCGATCTCCTGACCCCGTGATACGCCCGCCTCGGCCTCCCAAAGTGCTGGGATTACATGCGTGAGACCCCGCGCCCGGCCCCAATTTTGTACTTTTAGTAGATACGAGGTTTCTCCATGTTGGTCAGGCTGGTCTTGAACTCCCGATCTCAGGTGATCCGCCCACCTCGGTCTCCCAAAGTGCTGGTATTACAGGCGTGAGCCACCGAGCCCGGTCTCTATATTATTTTAAAAATAATTTCAACTTTTATGTTAGATTCAGGGGGTACATGTGCAGGATTCTTACATGGGTATATTGCATGATGCTGGGGTTGGGGTGGGATTAATCCTGTCACCCGGGTAGTGAGCATAGTATCCAATAGTTAGCTTTTCAAGCCTTTCCCCTTCCCAGCTACTCCCTAGTAGTCCCCGATGTTTACTGTTTCCGTCTTTTATGTCCAGTTTTAATAATATACGTAAATGGCCTTGTATAACAACATTATTTTAAGTAATCCATCTTAAAATTATAAGTGAGTTATTTTATATTAAAAATGATATTGCATCTTTGAAATCTGGTATATATTTTATACTTACAACACATCTTACCTTGGACTGGGCAATTTCAAGCATTCAATAGCCAATGTGGCTAATGGTAACCATATTGGAAAGTGCAGATTTAAACAGGTACTTTATATATTTTTAGGTTTTCAGAACTGAGTATGTATGACGTGAGGGTGTTCTGTCTTCAAAATTAAATGTTTAATTCCTCAGAAGAATGCTGTGATAAATAAGCTCATCCTACACATTATACGCAAAAAAAAAAGTGTTTCAATCATGTTGTTGGTAGATAGCCTGAAGATAGATATGGATATTTAATTATTTTAAATTCCCCCCTTTCATGTGGCAAACAAAAAAGCATATCTTCTTATTATGAATTCCCAAGAATCTGATAGACAGCCAGGTTTCTCTGGCTGTGACATGACATAAGGATGAAGGAGTGTTTCTGCAAACTGTCCTAATATTGCTTTTACAGCATCAAAGAGTCAAGATAATCCTCCCAAGCATTTACATGCACACACAAACAGACACAGACAGGCAGACACGCACACACATGAATACATATGAATTTTGTGTGTAACGCTTCTCTAGTCTCTCATTCAGTGAAACCTATTACTCAGTTTCCTATTTTTATTCTAGAAATCCCGTCAGCCAACTGAAAAGCCAAGTCTGCCATACAACTTGCAATCTGCCAATTTTAAAATGGATCAATGTTATTTTATTAACATTGGCAAAGGCTCATATATGGGCAAACCAGAATGAGAAAGAGTTAATCGTCACCAGAAATTTGGTTCCGAGAAATGGGTTTTCTTCTCATCTTCTTATATAGTTCAAAGAATCCAGTCTCACCGTGATAAGTCCCAAGATTCGAGAACTAGTTAGAAGAAAACTTGTTTGTTGCCTACAAATATCACGAATAGGTTTGTAATTTCCATATCTCAAAGTACACTTTTTAGTCTTTATCCACCTCCATGTAATGTGTCTACTACTACTAATGCTTACAAACCCCAGGCTGGAGACGGAGTTAATTGCCTGAGTTCTCTGTGTAATATCCTCACAGGCGTGCCCCACAGATATTTTAAATTTAGCATGAGCCAAACTAACTCATCTTCTCCATCTTTCAATCTTTCTCCCATTCCTGAAAGAGTTGTTAAAACCTCCCCTTTTCTGTGCCTGCTTGTCTTTGGCAATAGCATGTTTGTTTTTCTGAACTACTCTTCAATCCTGTTTCTATTTATCTTTCGTCTTACTCTCATAATTCAACCCTCATCTCCACCCCCAAAGCTGGTTTTCATTTATGCCTTATGAATTCCCTCCCCTCACCTCCCGTCTTCTTCTCTCTCTCTCTCCTTTCCTTCCTTCCCTTCCTCCCTCTTTCTCCTTCCTTCCTTCCTTTCTCCCTTCCTTCCCCCCTTCCTTCCCTCTTTCCCTCCCTCCGTCCCTCACTCCCACTTTCTCTTGCTTGCTTGCTTGCTTGCTTTTCTCACTCCATTGTCCGGGCTCGAGGGTAGTGGTGCAATCATAGCTCCCTACAATCGCTAACTCCCAAGTTCAAGCGATCCTCGTGCCTCAGCCTCTGGAGTTGTGAGTACAGGAGTAAGACACCACGCCAGCTAAGGACCCCTGTGAAAAAATGTTGAGTGCACCGCTCTCAGGTTTTCTTCTGATCATGGCTTTCCTCTATCAAATCTTACCTTTGATATTCCGACTGAGCAAACAACAATTATGAAGCGTTTTAGGCAGGAAAAGGCTGAATTTCAATGGCTTTGTGTTATATCTGGAAGAAATCAAAAGAAACGAAAATCAGAACTTGATTCTTGCCAAGCATAATAGAAGCAGACCCTAAGAACTCAACGTCTTCAGGCCACAAAGGAAACTTCTTGTGGTTATTATCTGACACTTTTCTAATCTTTCGTTTTTCGTTTCAAGTCCTACACAGTATTCTAAAGAATCTGTATCCCCCATTAGTACCAAGTATCTCCTGCTCAGAGTAGCTCTCCACGCTCTATGGTACTGACCACTATTACCAGCATGCTCACGGAGTCTCAGAAAATGAAAGTTACCTCCTGAAAATTATTACAAATGGGTGTTATAGTAAGGGGGTGTAGCTCAGTGGTAGAGCGCATGCTTTGCATGTATGAGGCCTCGGTTCGATCCCCGACACCTCCAAGTGATGGTTTCCCTCTGGCAGTTCTCAAGCGACAGACCTCTGCCTCCTCACATTTTTCTATTCTATTTCTGCACATATAGTAAGTAAAAATGTACTCCAATGCATTGCCTTGAACTATCTCCAACCTCTATGCTGTGAGCCTCAACATCACATAAGGCGATTGCGACAGCAGAAGGAAGACAAAAAAGTAACGAGGGGGAAAGAACAGGATCGCAACAGTGGTCTCCTGACCCAAACAAAAGCATGAACATTCACAGGCGGCTTGCGTTCGCTCCCATTTTGTTTTGTTTTGTTTTGTTTTTGTTTGTTTGTTTTGTTTTTTGAGACGGAGTTTTGCTCTCGTTGCCCAGGCTAGAGTGCAGTCGCACCACCTCGGCTCACTGCAACCTCCGCCTTCCGGTTTCAAGAGATTCTCCTGCCTCAGCCTCCCAAGTAGCTGGGATTACAGGCGCCCGCCACCACGCCCAGCTAATTTTTTTGTATTTTTAGTAGAGACGGGGTTTCACCATGTTAGTCAGGCTGGTCTTGAACTGCCGACCTCGTGAGCCACCCGCCTCGGCCTCCCAAAGTGCTGGGATTACAGGCGTGAGCCACCGCGCCCGGCCTTCCATTTTGTACTATGATTAAAGAGACGCAAAGACCAAGAAGAGAGAAAAATGCCAGTGGGCATCTTTTTTTTTTTAAGTTATTTTTGTTTTCTGGGCCAAAGAACAGAGCGAAAGCATCTGTCCACTCATTTCTACACCAGTCTCTCCCTGTCAACCTACATAGGGACATAAGTGCGATCCAATACTGAGACAAGGACTGCTGTGGCTCTCTAGCCACTTGAGATAGGAGTGGCAGGACGCTGGACGGCCAAACGAAGACTGTCCGGGAATTAGAGGCCTTCAACATGCAAGAAGCAAAAACTAATACGGATCAACATTCCCTACTGATATTCCATAAGACTGATTCATATTCATATTCCTGCATTTCCTCAGTCACTGTAATATTGCCTGGGAACTTCTGGTAACAGCAAACAGAGGCCCATAAGAAAAAACCAGGGAAAGGTTTTCTGTCACAATGGAAAATACATGCAGAGTAAAAGGTAAGTAGATCGCAATTGTGTGGGCGCTTTCTGCCTTGGAAAAAACCAAACAAACATTTCATGTTCTTTCTCGATCCATCTGATTACAACTGCTTTTTTTGAAAAGGGAACTCCCAAGAAATTCTATGCACTCATGGTACCTGTTAAAGGTTTCCAATGGTATACAGTTTCAAAACTGCTGTTCTCTCTGTACATATTTATTTATTTATTGTTGAATTAAAGTGTCTTTGAGAGACAAGAAACTACAATGTTTATTCCCAGTCCACCAGCCTAACACTCTATCAGGCTGGCATGTCTTTACTTCTTGATTCTTTTGTCCAGTGAAAGTATCTATAACTAGCATCCAGGAGGGATACGGTCTAGTGAAACCTGCTTAGCTGAGGACTGGCTGTGTGTGTGCCCCCAGGCCAATCACATGTTTGTTTTGAGATACATTTTTTGGAGGAAGGTAATACCCACGTGTCATGTATTTTCTTTGTGTTTCATACTTTTTCTTTTTTAATTTCCTGGCATCTATTGGTTCTCTCCAGGCAAACAGCGGCATGTCAGCCACAGCGGACACTGCACAGGAGAGCAAGGGGTGGGGAATTAGGGTGCTGCAAGCAGAATGCTAAATTCCAGGCCTAACCTCAGATCTATTGAATCAGAACTGCTGAGCATGGGGCTCAGCCTCTTGTGTTTGAATAAGCCCTCAAGTGACTCTGATGCTAAAGTTTGAGAAGCACTGTTCTAGAAGTTTAAGAAGGAGGTCCCAGGATCAGGTGGCTGCTGAGGGGGAAGATTTTTTCCTGGGGTTCCTTGCCTATTCTCAATCAAAAACTTAAACCACGTAGGACAGCCAGTGGGGTTTGTAGTTGCATTATGTCAGGGGTGGGGTTGGATTTACCATTTCTTTTTTGTTTGTTTTTGTTTTGTTTTGTTCTGTTTTTGTGAGAGGGAGTCTTGCTCTGTCACCCAGGCTGAAGTGCAGTGGTGCAATCTTGGCTCACTGCAACCTCCGCCTATTGAGTTCAAGCGATTCTCCTGCCTCAGTCTCCTGAGTAGCTGGGATCACAGGCGCCTGCCACCATGCCCAGCTAATTTTTGTTTTTTAGTAGAGACGGGGTTTTGACATATTGGTCAGGCTGGTCTCAAACTCCTGACCTCAAGTGATCTACCCACCTCGGCCTCCCAAAGTGCTGGGATTACAGGCGTGGGCCACCATTCCCAGCCTCCTTCATCCTTTTGATGTCAGCTGAGTCTACAGTGATGTCCTCTTTTTATTCCTGATGTTGGTAAACTGTGTCATCTCTCTGCTGAAAATTTCTATCTTGCTAGAGTTCTTCTTTTATTGATCCTTGAAAGGAACTAGCTTTTTGTTTGTTTTTCTATTTTTGTGTGTGTGTGTGTGCGTGTGTTCCATTTCACTGATTTCTGCTTTTATTTTTTATTATTTCCTTTCTTCTATTTGCTTTGGGTTATTTTGCTCTTTTTCCCACCTGATTTCTACAAGTAAGAGCTTAGAGGACTGATTTGGGACTTTTTTCTTTTCTAATGTATGCACTTAGTGCTGTATATTTCTCTCTCAGCACTCCTTTAGGATATCTTGGAATTTTTAATATATTGTATTTTCATTTTTATTCATGCTACCTTATTTTTTGATATCTACTAAGGTTTTCTCTTTGTTGTATGAACTGTTTAGTAGTGTGTTGTTCATTTTCCAAGCGTTTGGACATTTTTCTGTCTTTTTGTGACTGATTTTTACTTTAATTTCATTTTGGTCAGGGATTATACCATATTAGTTAATTCTTTTAAATTTGTTGAGGTTTGTTTTATGGCCCAGGATATGTTTTACCTTTACCTATATTCAGTGTGGATTTGACTAGTGTGTTCTGCTCTTCCTGTGTGGACTGTTTTATAAATGTTAACTGAATTCTGGTGGCTGAAGATGTTTGAGTTCTTCAACACTCTTTTTTTTTTTTGAAGCAGAGTCTTGCTCTGTTGCCCAGGCTGGAGTGCAGTGGCGCGATCTCGGCTCACTGCAAGCTCAGCCTCCCGGGTTCACGCCATTCTCCTGCCTCAGCCTCCAGAGTAGCTGGGACTACAGGCACCCGCCACCACGCCCGGCTAATTTTTTTGTATTTTTTAGTAGAGATGGGGTTTCACCGTGTTAGCCAGGGTGGTCTTGATCTCCTGACCTCATGATTCGCCCGCCTCGGCCTCCCAAAGTGCTGGGATTACAGGTGTGAGCCACCACGCCCGGCCTAGTTCTTCAACATTCTTGCTGATTTTCTGTTTAGTTGTTCTATCAATCATTATGAGAGAAGTTTTGAAGTCTCCAAAGTAATTGTGGATTTGTCTATTTTTTTTTAAAGTTCTGTTTTTTTATCTTTACATATGTTGCAGCTCTCCTGTTTGGTGGATACATATTTAGGATTGTTATGTCTTCTATTTCTTTCCCTGCCTCCCTCTCTTCTTTCTTTTTCTTCTTTATTTAACCAAGAAAGAACAAATTTACTATTACTTTCCCTACCAAAGCAGTCTCTCATCACCTCCTGACTCTGAGAATTAAATTCTGTTTCCTTCAGATGTCCTTAGTTGATTGACTCCCAAACAGGGAGTGTGAACAGGAAAATAGAATAAAACACCTGTTAGATTTGAATACAAATTGAGAAATTTGTATCTTTGTTTCTGCCTGGAAACATTTAAAATGGAATGGGAACCACATGAGAAGCACATATTGTCCACATCTTGGGATCATTTCAGACCATCTTGCCTCTTCAACCAAACAATCAGCAACAATGGAATATATATATATATATACTCCATATATATATATATATACTCCATATATATATATATACTCCATATATATATACATATATACTCCATATATATATATACTCCATATATATATACATATATACTCCATATATATATATACTCCATATATATATATATACTCCATATATATATATATACTCCATATATATATATATACTCCATATATATATATATACTCCATATATATATATATACTCCATATATATATATACTCCATATATATATATACTCCATATATATATATATATATATACTCCATATATATATATATATATATATATATATATACACTCCATATATATATATGGAGAGAGACACAGAGAGAGATCTCAAAGATTATTTCTCTAAACTATTTGATGATTTTCAGACATTATATCTTTTTAATCCCTAAATTCATCAATGTGTATTTCTTAAAACAAGATCAGTTCCTTAACACAGCACAATTATCAAATTCAGTAAACTTAACATTGATAAAATAGCATTATCTAATATACAATCTATAAAAATTTAACTAATTGTATCAATACAATCTTTTATAGAAATTTCTCTCCCAAGCTAGGATCCATTTCACAGACACATATGAATCTAATTGTCTTGACTCTTTAGTCTCCTTTAATTTAGAACAGTTGCTCAATTGTGTCTTTCACAACTTTGATAATGTTTTTGAAGAGTATATGCCAGTGGTTTGTGGAATATTTCTTAATTTGTCCTACTCATGGTAAGATTAAGTTTATGGAAATTGGAAGAAATGTCACAAAAAATCATATTATCCTCTATCACACCAAGAAGCATGTGATGCCAATTTTCCCCATTATTAGTGAAGTTAGCTTTCATCATTTGGTTAAGTTTGTAACTACTATTTCTTCCCTGCAAAAGTATCATCTTCCTCATTGTAATCAATAAGTAAGCTCTAGAGAAATACTCTGAGACTATATAAATATCCTGATCCTCATCAAAATTTTACCTATACTTTTAGCATTGACTTATAATTTTGCCTGCACCTATCAGCATTCTGATGGTGTCCAGATTTTCTAATTTTCTAATGGGGATTTGCAAATTTTATCCTTCTTTCCACATTTATTAGCTGGCATACCACTGTAAAGAAAATCTTCCCATCTTCCATATTTATTTATTTATTTGAGACAGAGTCTCGCTTTGTCGCCCAGGCTGTAGTGCAGTGGCATGAGTCCTGGAGTCAGTGTAGTTGACACTAGTAGCTACTTTCTATTAGTATCTCTGGTGCCTTTTAGTAGGGAATGGTATTTGTGAATCAAAATATTGTTATCTTTGCTTATTGTTTCTGAGGTATTTCTTCCAGGCCCAGTTAGCAGACAGATCTGCAGGGAAATTTTACTTTTTTTTTTTTTTGAGACAAAGTCTAAGTCACCCAGGCCAGAGTGCGGTGGCAGGATCTTGGCTCACTGCAACGTCTGCCTCCTGAGTTCAAGCGATTCTCCTGCCTCAGACTTCCGAGTAGCTGGGACTACAGGCACGCACAACCACATCCGGCTAATTTTTGTATTTTTAGTAGAGACGGGGGTTTCACCATGTTGGCCAGGCTGTTCTCGAACTCCTGACCTCAAGTGAGCTGCCCGTCTTGGCCTGCCAAAGTGTTGAGATTACAAACGTGAGCCACTGCGCCCAGCCTATAAAATTACATATGTATAATTTCATACTGACGCCTCCAATTCTCATCAACACCAACAGGACTATTCTTTACCTTCTTTCTCTTACAGTGACAGCCTGGTTCCAACACACCCGGTCACACACACTCATTTTCCCAATCCTAAAATTCACACAAAATCTCAGAATTCTTACAGCCCTAGCTCTACAAAAATAACCCTGATACAGAGTTCAAGATTTGTTTGCAATTCTTTTTAATCTTACAATTAGAACAACAAACTGTATAAACCATTTTCATAGATCAGTTCTTTCCTTTTCAAGTAGGAGTATGTTATTGTTTCACAATGCAATTTTACACTTGATCTTAGCCAAAAGGCCGAGAAGCGATAGACAACGCCATTTGAATTTGCCTCTATTCGTATTGAATTTTAAGGTATTTTCACACGCACTTGAGTCAGTTTTATTTTTTGACTATGTGAAACACCAACATGCTTCCAAGAGTCAAAAGAATACAGAAAGTTATAATCAGAAAATTTGCAAGAGAATGTTGTATACCGGGACACACTCAAATGATAGAATGCAAGTATGCTCCAGGAAGTCTAACGTGATGGAGAGTCCACCTTGGGGTGAGTTGATCTTGGGTTGACCACAAATCAGGAACAGTGCCTTTATTTTTACCACTAAGCTACTTTCCTTTCTTTTCTCTTTCTTTCTTTCTCTTTATTTCTCTCTTTCTTTCTTTGTTTCTGTCTCTCTCTCTCTCTCTCTCTCTCTCTCTTTCTTCTTTCTTTCTTTTTTTGAGACGGAGTCTCGCTCTGTCGCTCAAGCTGGAGTGCAGTGGCCCGATCTCGGCTCACTGCAACCTCTGCCTCCCGGGTTCAAGCAATTCTCTACTTCAGAGTAGCTGGGATTACAGGCGCCTGTCACCACGCCCGGCTAATTTTTCTATTTTTAGTAGAGACAGGGTTTCACTATCTTGCCCAGGCTGGTCTTGAACTCCTGACCTCGTGATCCACCCGCCTCAGCCTCCCAAAGTGCTGGGATTACAGGCATAAGCCACTGCACCCGGCTAAGCTACTCTTCTTTTGGCCCAGCCGTGCCTAAAAGAGGAAGCGCTTCATGTAGGGAATTAACAATGGAATTGGAAACATATAGTGATTATCCTGACACAGAGGGCAGGCTCACATATTGGCCGTCACCAAAGCGTTTTCCGAAGGCCCTGAGTCCAGAGGGGGTATAGCTCAGTGGTAGAGCGCGTGCTTAGCATGCACGAGGTCCTGGGTTCGATCCCCAGTACCTCCAGGCCGTGTTTTCTTCCCCGGGACACCAGTAAGAAGCGGTCCATGATATTCCCCAACTTTAAATTTTTCTGTCTGTCAAGGTGAATTGTGTTGGCCTCTGCATTTCTCTCTCATACAGAGGGTGATGCGTGTTCATTCACTTGAGGTTATTTGCTGCCTAGGATTATCCGCCTATTCTTTCTAAGCAGTCCCATCAATCATTAACATGGACCACGCACGGGGGAAGCAAGTAGTATTCCTGGCCATCCAGCCAATTTCTAGCTGTAAATGAAATCATCAGAAACCATAGACCTGTGTGGCCCAAGTCTGATTTCAGATCAGAAGCTAAAAGGCTCAAGTCTTTTTCTGTTTCTTTTTCTAACTCCTCCTAACCAGGTTGCAGAAGCCCTACAAGCTTTCACTAAAAGATTACACTGCCAGGGGTTGATGGTTTGATGTGTGGTGGTAACCTTTTCCATTGGAGACCCACAAACTCTGAAACTTAAACTACTTAACTACAAACACACAACAAATGACGAAAAGACAGCATTCACCTCAGCTGAAATTTGGTGGAAGTAAAAAGCACTTCTCTGGGTCCTCTGAGGAAGCTTCTGGTCTGAGATGCAAACACTCTGAACTCCAGGGACCAAGATCAGTATAGGAGAAAGCTCATTTTGCTGTTTTACATAAATAAAAGTAATGAACGTTTATTTTTCCAATCCCAAAGGATCCTTTTGTACCTCACAGTACTTACTCTCCAGGATTGACCTCCTTCTAAGCTAGGGAACAACCCATACCTCCAGATTAGAGCTCTTTGTGGTATCACAGTGCCAAGCAGAAATCCACAGAGAAATACTCTGCAAGCATCTTAATACTATCTTGTTAAAAGAAAATCTGCTTTTATTTTCAGCTCTATTTCATGCCAACAAAGGAAATAAAAAATAAGTTACTAAACATCCAGAAGGCAGAAAAGCGACCTCTCTCCATCTGCAGAAGCCAAGCAAACTTGTGGGCTTCCCTATGCATCCTTTCTTTTACTCACTTTCTAAACGCTGTAACGGCCACTATCTATCAGGTGGTCACAAGCCATCGCTAAAGTCAATCTGAGGTCAACCCACTCGACTTGTGAGGGATTCAGCTATACTGCCTCTGCGCCTCTAATAGGACTAAGGAGGCGGTGGTTGCACAAGTAGTTAACACCGATTGTACCGTGACTCCGCCTTTCCGCAGCCGCTCTCCAGCTCTTTAGAGTCCTTTTGAGTCAAGCTGGACGTGAGACATACAGGAGATCGTTGCAAACGCCAGGAGGAGTTTCTTCAGGGTGAAGTTAACTTTCAATCGGCTTCATTCTAAGAGAAATATGTGGAGCAAACAAACGGAAACTTTCTTTCTCATCTTTTGCATTTCAAGCAAAAACTAATAAAATTAGATGTTTCCACCGTCATGCTCAGTTTCGAAGCTGCCAGCAGATCCCGCTTCTAACTTTTAACACAGGCACGCAGGAAATCGGGAAATCCCTGCAGCTCCCTCAGAAGCTACAGTATCAGCGGTTCCTGAAGGGCAAACCAAAACCCAGTATCACTCTCTCCTCCAAAGAGTTCAGCCGGTCTGCTGAGCGACGGAAATAGCGGAGAGGCGCTCTTGAAGCCGAAACGAACCAGGTCCCCTTCCTGGTCGAGTCTTCCTCCCTAAGGACAAAAAAAGTACCTTTCTTCCCTCATATCCAGAGGAAGCGACGGAGGGATGTGGCGCTTAGACTCACTGTACCATCCCGTCCATCCAAGTCCTAATAATCATGAGGATGCGACAGAGCGAGACTCCGTCTCAACAAAACAAAACAAAACAACCCTAAGGAAGAGAGAGAATGTACTGGAGGATAGGAAGTACTTAGGAAAACCTTTTTTTTTCTTGTATTTAAATTTAAGCCTTCATTTATATAAAATAAAACACATGAAACCTATTCAGCTTACGGCTTATTATATATAACCAAAATTCAGGCCAAGATACTGAATTTTTCAGCAACCAACAGCTGCCTTTTGCCTCATTTCAATTATCCTAACTCTCTGACCTCCACCTCCATAGATTATTTTTCTTATGTTTTAAATAATATAAATGGGATCATATAATATCATCGTAGTCTATTTTGGGCTGCTACAAAATCACTCAAGACTGGTAATTTGTAACGAACAGAACCCTTCCCTTCCCTTCCCTTCCCTTCCCTTCACTTCCTGACAGAGTTTCACTCTTGTTGCCCAGGTTGGAGTGCAGTGGCTCAGTCTTGGCTCACTGCAACCTCTGCCTCCCGGATTCAAGCAATTCTCCTGTCTCAGCTTCCTGGGTAGCTGGGATTACAGGCGAATGCTACCACGCCCAGCTAATTTTTCTGTATTTTTAGTAGAGATGGGGTTTCACCATGTTTGCCAGGCTGGTCTCGAACTCCTGACCTCAGGTGATCCATCCACCTTGGCCTCCCAAAACCCTGGGATTACAGGAGACAGCCACTGCACCAGGCCCAGAAACATTTTCTCACAGTTCTGGAGGCTGGGAAGTTCAAGATCAAGTCACTGGCTCTCATGTCTGGTGATGGCCTTTTTGTTGTGTTCTCACATGGCAGAAAACTGAAGGCAATAGAGAGATGAACTTCCTTTGTCAACTCTTATTATAAGGGTACCTAATATTATTCATGAGGAAGGAACCCTCATGGCTTAATCTTCTTAAAGGCCCTATGTCTTGATAATTATCACATGGTGACACCTAAGCTTTGGAGGGGACACTTTCAAACCACAGCAAATCTGTACTCATTTGAGTATGGATTCTTTCACTTAATTTTTGTTAAAAAAATTAGATTCATTTTCTTTTCTTTTTTCTTCTTTTTTTTTTTTTCAAGGTGGAGACTTGCTCTGTCGCCCAGGCTGGAGTGCAGTGGCGCGATCTTGGCTTACTGCAAGCTCTGCCTACCAGGTTCACGCCATTCTCCTGCCTCAGCCTCCCGAGTAGCTGGGACTACAGGTGCCATCCACCACGCCCAGCTAATTTTTTGTATTTTTAGTAGAGACAGGGTTTCACTGTTTTAGCCAGGATGGTCTCGATCTCCTGACTTCGTGATCTGCCCGCCTCAGCTTTCCAAAGTGCTGGGATTACAGGCGTGAGCCTCCGTGCCCAGCCTTCATTTTCTATATATTGTTGCTAGTAACAGTAGTTATTTTCTGTTGCTCTCGAGTATTCTATTGTCTGAATACTGTACATCATGATTTATTAATTCATTTTACTGTCCAAGTACATTTGCAGCACCCCTCGTTTTTGGTTGAAATGTCTAATGCTGCTGTAAACATTCTGATACATGTCCTTCAAGGGAGATGCTCATGCACTTCTCTTGGGTATAAATGTAACCGTCTAGTTTTGGGGTCATAGCATATATATATATATATATATATATATATATATATATATATATATATATTTAGTTGATATTTTCAGATAGTTTCCCAGTGTAGATATAGCAGTTTACAGTCTCATCAGCCATGTATGCACGTTCCAATTGCTTCACATACTCAGCAACACTTGATATTATCCACTTTTTGGGTTAAATGATTCCAATGAAGAGCAATATTATTTTGTGTTTTTTTTTTCGACAGTGTCTTGCTGTGCTGCCCAGGCTGGAGTGCAGCGGCACAATCTTGGCTCACTGTAGCCTTTGCCTCCCAGGATCAAGAGATTCTCATGCCTCAGCCTCCTGAGTAGTTGGGACTACAGGGGCATGTGGCCGTCTAAATTTTTGTATTTGTAGTAGAGACCGGGTTTCGCCATGTTGGCCAGCTGGTCTTGAACTCCTAACCTCAAGTGATCCACCCGCCTCGACCTCCCAAACTGCTGGGAGTATAGGCGTGAGCCACTGTGTCCAGCATTGTTGTGTTTTTAATTTGCATTTCCTTTATAGCAAAAGATGTCGAGCATATTTTATTTTACTCAATAGCGATTTTTTGTGAAGTTCATATTAATTTGCTCTTTCTTATTGAAGTTTTAGTCTTTTTCTTAGTGCTTTGTAGAAGTTCTTAACATATTCCAGATAAAGATCCTTAGTAAAATATAAGTATTGGAATATCTTCTCCTAGACTGTGGCTCATCATCTTTTCTTAAGGAGGATGGGGCTTGAAAAACTTTGTAAGCAGATGAAAGAGAAGAAATGGAGACAGACAGGTTGAAGACCCCAGAGGAAGTTCCATCTGGACATCTTACCTGTTGGCTGTGGGAGAAAATGCCCCCAGGCAGTTTGCTGGAGAGGAAACCTCAGAATAAACTGATGGGATGAAATGTTCCAAAAGCAGAAACTGTGTTCTGGTCTGTGATTCTCTTACATTTCTCCTAGCAGCTTCAGGGGATATAGTTTAGAGGTAAGAAATAGTGAGATATGAGACAGTGGATTTTCTATCCGGCCAACTTACCATATTTTTGAAGACCTCTCAGAAATATGACTAATGCGTCAAAAAAGATCTTCACGATGTTTCTGTAGCGAGAGAGGTGTGGCTCAGTGGTAGTGTGTCCTTGCCTTGCACAGAGTTCAAAAGCATACATGTTCATCTGTTTTTCACAATTCTCGCCACTCTGTACTTTTCTCCTTTTAAAAACATGCCTTGCGTGGTCACACTAAAATAAACATATTATACTTTCCATTTCCACTCCCTGGGTCTCTGTACCACCCAAGGTGGATGTGTCAGCACAAGACGAGTGAAAGGAAGGGAATAGCGAAAATGAATTTTCTCGCTCAGGATTTCCTTAGTCAGAAGCTATAAACCTGCCACCACATTAACGTGCCCAATAATCCTCTGTTCCTTTTTGCCATATCGTTGAAGAGCAAGACAGAAAAACAAGAGCCCAGAGAAAAGGAAAAGCCTAGAAAATTTTCTTTTGAATTCCCTTGGTATTCTGAGCAGTGACCATGTAGGGGAGCATGTTCTTACTTTGCTCTATTCTTCATTTTTGCCTTTTCTTTCCCTGGCTTTTGCTAACCCATTCATTGTCCTTAAAATTGGGTCCTGTTTTCAGACATAAATTGGGGAAGAATCTATATTTTGGGGGTGAAGGGGTGAGTGAATGACAGGTGATATTGAAGACAACAGAATTGGAAGATATACTGACCCTACAAATGAGTTTTTATATTTTGAAGAAACACCTAAAACAACAAATTCGGGAAGCCGAAATAGCTCAGTTGGGAGAGCGTTAGACTGAAGATCTAAAGGTCCCTGGTTCGATCCCGGGTTTCGGCAGGGTTTTTTTTTTTTCTTTCTTTCTTTCAGTTTTGCCTAATAGAACCCTTATTTTGTTTATTTATTTATTTTTTGACGGAGTTTCACTCTTGTTGCCCAGGCTGAGTGCAATGGAGCGAACTCGGCTCACCGCAACCTCCGCCTCCTGAGTTCAAGCGATTCTCCTGCCTCAGCCTCCCGAGTAGCTGGGATTACAGGCATGCGCCACCACGCCTGGCTAATTTTGTATTTTTAGTAGAGACGGAGTTTCTCCATGTTGGTCAGGCTGGTCTCGAACTCCCGACCTCAGGTGATCGGCCCGCCTCGGCCTCCCAAAGTGCTGGGATTACAGGCGTAAGACACAGCGCTCGGCTGATACAACCCTTATACAACACTTGCATGCCAATCCCAGAAAGGTGTATAGAACTCCAATTTTTTGCTGTTGAAAATCCGATAAAGGTAATACACACACACACACACACACACACACACACGCATATATATATATATGCATCACTCTCTGCTTTGGTTGCATATTCCAGTGAAGTCTTCCATGAAGCGCTGACATTAAATAAATTATTTACAGTCTGAAACCTAGGAAGTGATTTTTTTTTTTTTTGAGATTGAGTTTCGCTCCGATGCCCAGGCTGGAGTGCAGTGGCGCGATGTCGGCTCAGTGCAATCTCCGCCTCCCGGGTTCAAGGATTCTCCTGGCTCAGCCTCCCCAGTAGCTGGGATTACAGGCGCCTTCCATTTCAAGTCGTATACTGTATTCTAAATAATTTGTATCCCCCGTTAGTACCTAGTATCTTCTACTCACAGCAGCTGCAGACGCTCCACAATACTCAGAAAAAGAAAGTTACCTCCTGGAAATTATTACAAGAAGGATTTTTTTCAGGAAGGGGGTGTAGCTCAGTGGTAGAGCGCATGCTTTGCATGTATGAGGTCCCGGGTTCGATCCCCGGCACCTCCAAACGGTGACTTTTTGCTCTGGTAGTGCTCAAACCTAATTCTCAAGCAACATAGACTTACTTCTGCCTCCGCACCTTTTTCTGTCCTATTTCTGCACATATAGAGAGTAAAGACGTAACCCAATGGGTTGCCTCCATTTATAACCCATTTCTATGCCGTGAGCTTCGACATCACTGAAGGCGATTGTGACGGCAGAAGGAAGGTGAAAAAGAAATGAGGAAGAAAGAAGAATGGGATCCCAACAGGGTCTCTTGAACCCAAACAAAAGTGTGCACATCCACGGGAGGTTCACATTTGCTCTCATTTTGTGCTATGATTAAAGAGAAGGAAAGACAAAGAAGAAGGGAGAAAAGCGCCCCGCGGCCATTCTTTTTTTTTTTTTTTTTTTTTTTTTGGAGACAGAGTCTCGCTCTGTAGCCCAGGCTGGAGTGCAGTGGCTTAATCTTGGCTCATTACAACCGCTGCCTCCCGGGTTCAAGCGATTCTTCTGCCTCGGCAGGTGGGTTTACAGGTGCGTGCCATCAGGCCCGGGTAATTTTTGTATTTTTAGTAGAGACGGGGTTTCACCATGTTGGCCACACTGGTCTCGAACCCCAGACCTCAGGTGATCCACCCGCCACAGTTTCCCAAAGTGCTGGGATTACAGGCGTGAGCCACCGCTCCCAGCATCATCTTTTTTGTTTGTTTGTTTTTTGTTTTTTTTTACTTTAGTTTTGTTTTCTGGGCCAAAGAACAGAGCGAAAGCATCTGTCCACTGATTTCTCCTCCAGTCTCTCCCTGTCAACCTGCGCAGAAAGCACAGCCACAAGTGTAATCCAATACTGAGACAAGGACTGCTGTGGCTCTCCAGCCGCTTGAGATGGGAGTGGAAGGACGCTGGATGACCGAACAAAGACTGTCAGGGAATAAGAGACCTTCAACATGAGAGGAGCAGAAACCAATACGGATCAACATTCCCTACTGATACAATTGATTCATTTTCCTGTATTTCCTCAGCCATTCCATTTTCCTTGTTAAAATAAAACATTGCCTGGAAACCTCTGTTAACAGCCAACGGAGGACTCATGTGAAAAAGTAGGAAAAGTTTTTCTGTCACAATGGAAAATAGACGCAAAGTAAAAGGTGAGTGGATCGCAGGTGTGTTGAGCACTTCCTCAGGTAAAAACAAAAGAAAACAAATTTTTTTTGTTCTTTCTCTGTCAATCCCATCACAATTGCATTGCATGACCAGGGAACTCCCAGGAAATCCTATTCACTGATGATACCTTTTAGGGGTTTCCAATGTTGTATGTTTCAAAATTGCTGTCCTCTGTACATGTTTGCTGTTGAATCAAAGCATCTTTGAGAGGCAACAGAGTATGATGTTTGTCACCATCCACCAGTCTAACACTCTATCAGGCTGGGATGTCCTCACTTCTTGATTCTTTTATCCGGTGAAAATATCCATAACCAGTATCCAGGAGGGATACTGTCTGGTGAAACCTGCTTAGCTGAGGATTGGCTGTGTGCCCCCAGGCCAATCATATGTTTGTTTCAAGATGCATTTTTTGGAGACAGGTAACGAAGAGATGCCATATATTTTCTTTTCATTTCTTAATATTTCCCCCCTACTATCTACTGGTTCTCTCCAGGCACTTTAAGGAAATAGTGTCATGTTTGCCACAAAGGATGCTGCACAGGAGAGCAAGGCATGAGGGATTAGGGTGCTACTAGTGGAATGTCAAATTCCAGGCCCAACCTCAGATCTACAGAATCAGAATTGATGAGAGTGGGACCCAGCCACCTGTGTTGAATAAGCCCTCAAGTGACTCTGATGCTAAAGTTTGAGAAGCACTGCTCTAGAAGTTTCAGAAGGAGTTCAGGGCCAGATGCTTGCTAAGGAGAAAGAGTTGCTCCCGGGGTTCCCTGCCTATTTTCAATAAAAAACTCAAACCACGTAGGAAAGCCAGTGACGTATTTGCATTACATCAGGATGAGAGTGGATTTATTACCTCTTTGAGACCTTCAATATTTTAGATGACTAGAGATCACACACAAGAGCCTCTGATTTTCCTGTAGAAGAACTCACAGGGGTTCTTTAGAGCCAGGAGACTCTTTCCAGCCAAAATACCTGGAGCCATCTCAAGCTATTTTGGCCTTTCAATTTGAAACCTAAGGCCTTTCCTTAGAGCTTGGAAGTTTCTAAGCTCTGAGGAAGACACTGTAATCATTCTTGCTCCACCCTCAGGGTTGGAATTCACCCTGCTCTCTGTCAAGCCCCCACCAATTCTGCCAATATTCTGGTCTAAGATCCAGTTGTTAAAAACCCAGTCTATGTGGCTGGGGGCGGTGGCTCATGCTTGTAATCCCAGCACTTTGGGAGGCCAAGTCGGGTGAATCACGAGGTCAAGAGATCGAGACATTCCTGGCCAACATGGTGAAACCCGTCTCTACCAAAAATACAAAAATTAGCTGGGCATGGTGGCCGGGGAGGCTGAGGCAGGAGAATAAAAAATTAGCTGGGCATGATGGCCATGCCTGTAGTCCCAGCTACGGGGAGGCTGAGGCAGGAGAATCCCTTGAACCTGGGAAGCGGAGATTGCAGTGAGCCGAGATGGCACCACTGCACTCAAGCTTGGTGACACAACGAGACTCCATCAAAAACAAAAAACAAAAACAAACAAAAAAAGCAATCTAATGCATAAAATGTAATTAAAATATCTTCGCAGCATTAAGTAGAGAGTTCCTTGTGGTTAGGAGACTCTTCCTCCTTGGAAGATGTTCTCTGTCTGTCTACCTTCTGCGTTTTCACATTTGTCTCTTCCTCTCCACACCTAAGCCAGTGCTTTATTTCCACTTATCTCGTGTAGGGATATACTTTTGTGTGGTGACCTTGGTTTTGCCCACTCTTCTTGCTTCCAAGAGTTGGATGTAGGCAATGTAGGAGCCCACTGCCAAAGTGTGGGTGATATTCTCCAGAAAGAAACCTAAATTTCAGAGGCTTGCTGATATGGAAGAAAGCCTAGGATATTCGACTCATAGAGCTTCGCACTGCTAGGCAGGTTGAAATCTGGACACCCTGAATTCCTTAGGAACAAGGTATAAGTACTTCTGAAAACCAATTTAAGTTTAAAATATACTGAGACTCCCTGATCTTTCTTGTATTTCATGACATATTCCAAGCTCAAGAAGCTAAACACACACACACACACTCAAATACCAAAACAGAACACACTCTCCTACCTATAACAAAGGGGCTTAAGCAGGAGGGTCTAGAGAGACCTGGTTCAACACTCTCCCCCTGACGAACAGTAGGGATTGGAAATAGGCGGCTTCTCTGTCCTTTCCTCGGAAGCCACCAATACCACCCGCCTGTACCAAAACTCAAGGGTACCCCTGCTCCCCAGTACCCCAGCCAGTAAAGGAGCTGCGAGGCGTTCTCAACGCCGCGACTACCTTGAGTAAAACGAGGGAGATCTTGCGGGGAAAGTGTTTTCAGCTCACTTCTCCTACAGGGAATGAGCCCTCTCACCTATCGTGGACACCGAGGAAACGCAGCAGAGATGGGCACCCAGGCTGCCCAGATCCTCTGGCAGCCTCGGGTGCTCGTCCACTTCGCTCCTCCTCCGCCTTTGCTGCCGCAGCCGCAGGTGCGCACCCCACCGCGTCCCTGCTTCCCTCCTCGAGCTCTTGTGGTCGAGCTCAGGTGGTCCTTGTTCTCCTCTCCATCCATCGTTACTTGAGTCTCAAAACTGGAGCCACAACGTCCCCAAGATGAAATCCATGCTGGGTTTCAGCCACGGTGCCGGCCCAGGGGCTGGCGAGGGTAAGGACAGGCAGCGACCCACTTCCTGGGTCTTCATTTCTAAGAGCTGGGAATTCCACCTTCTCACCTCCTCACCTGGACCTAAATCCCCCAGGCGGTACTGACCATTCTGTTTTTTTATCCACCTACGCTACTCTTCGTGTGACAGCCCTTGAAGGCAGAAGGAAAAGAAGATGTAAGAAGGGAGAATTTAAAAAACACTTTAAAAATTAATTAATCTGAATACTCAAAGTATCCCCAGGTCATGTATCCTTTTAAGATATGCCTACATTGGCATAGGCGGTGGCTCATGCCTGCAATCCCAGCACTTTGAGAGGCCGGGGCAGGCGGATCACCTGAGGCCAGGAGTTGGAAACCAGCCTGGCCAACATGGTGAAACCCCATCTCTACTAAAAATACAAAAATTAGCCGGGCGTGCTGGCACGTGCCTGTAATCCTAGCTACCTGGGAGGCTGAGGCAGGAGAATCGCTTGAACCTGGAAGGTGGAGGTTGCAGTGAGCCCAGATTGCACTACTGCATTCCAGCCTGGGCAACACAGCAAGACTCCTTCTGGGGGAGGGGGTGGAGGGCGGGGGCGACGAATTATACAGTGAAACTTTCTTGAACCTGAAGAGTCTGTTTTTTTTTTAAAGTTTTTATATCACAAATTTAATTTCCTTAGTAGTTACAAGGTTATAGAAAAATATATTTCATATTGAGTGAGTTGTGATAGTTTGTGATTTTCAAGGAATTAGTCCATCTCATCTAAGTTTTCAAATTTGTGTGTAAAGTGTTGTTCATAGTATTCATTTACCCTTTTGATGTCAGCAGAGTCTATAGTGATATACTCTTCTTTTTATTCTTGATATTGGCAATTTGTGTCATCTCTCTTCTTAAAAAATTATCAGTCCTCCTAGAGGTCTTCTTTTATTGATCTTTTAAAGGAACTAGCTTTTTGTTTGTTTTTCTATTTTGTGCGTGTGTGTTCAGTTCCGTTTATTTCTGCTCATTTCCTTTCTTCTATTTGCTTTGGGTTATTTTCCCCCACCTGAGTTCTTCAAGTAAGAGCTTAAAGGACTGATTTGAGACTTTTTTCTTTTCTTTCTTTTTTTTTTTTTTTTTTTTTTTTTTTTTTTTTTTTTTTTGGCCGGGCTGGTCTCCAACTCCTGACCTTGTAATCCACGCGCCTCGGCCTCCCAAAGTGCTGGGATTACAGGCGTGAGCCACGCGCCTGGCCGACTTTTTTCTTTTCTAATGTATGCACTTAGTGCTGTAAATTTCTCTCTCAGAGATTAAGTTGTCTTGGAAATTTTGATACATTGTGTTTTCATTTTTATTCAGGTTAATTTATTTTTTTGATCTCTACTAAGGCTTTCTCTTTGTCCTATGGAATATTTAGTAGTGTGTTGTTCATTTTCCAAGTGTTTGGATATTTTTGTTGTCTTTCTGTGACTGATTTTTAGTTTGATTTCATTGTGGTTAGGGATCATACTATGTCAGTCAATTCTTTTAAATTTGTTGAGGCCCAAGGTATGAGGTATGTTCTATCTTGATCTACGTTACGTATGAATTTGAAATGAATGCGTGTTCTGCTTTTCTTGTGTGGACTGTTCTATACATGGTGACTGAATTCTGTTGCCTGAAGATGATTTGGGGTTCTTCAATATCCTTGCAGATTTTCTGTGTAGTTTTTCTGTTATTATGAGAGAAATGGCGCGGGCGTGGTGGCTCACGTCTGTAATCCCAGCATTTTGGGAGGCCGAGGCGGGTGGATCACCAGGTCAGGAGATGGACACCACCCTGCCTAACATGGTGAAACGCCGTCTCTACTAAAAATACAAAAAATTAGCCGGGCGTGGTGGCGGGCGCCTGTAGTCCCAGCTACGCAGAGGCTGAGGCAGGAGAATGGCGTGAACCCGGGAGGCGGAGCTTGCAGTGAGCCAAGATTGCGCTACTGCACTCCAGACTGGGCGACAGAGCGTGTGAGGAGACGATTGAAAAACCCAAAAAGAAGAAAAAGCAAAAGCCCCAGGAGATTCATCAGGAGAATGGAATGGAAGACCCATCTATCTCTTTCTCCAAACCCAAGAAAAAGAAATCTTTTTCCAAGGAGGAGTTGATGAGTAGCGATCTTGAAGAGACCGCTGGCAGCACCAGTCTTCCCAAGAGGAAGAAGTCTTCACCCAAGGAGGAAACAGTTAATGACACCGAAGAGTCAGGCCACAGAAGTGGCTCCAAGAAAACGAGGAAATTCTCCAAAGAGGAGCTGGTCAGCAGTGGGCCTGAAGAGGCGGCTGGCAAGAGCAGCTCCAAGAAGAAGAAAAAGTTCCATAAAGCATCCCAGGAAGATTAGAATGCAAATGGACATTCTCTGGGAGGTGGGGCATACCATAGCCCAAGGCGACATTTCCCACCCTGTGCCGTCTTCCCCAATAAGAACAAATTCACAAAAAAGAGAGAGAGAGAAGTGAAGTCTCTAATGTAACTGCATTTGTCGATTTTTTTAATTCTATCTTTTTTGTTTTTTAAAATATTTATTTATGTATTACATTTATTTATTTATTTATTTATGAGTCAGAGTCTCGCTCTGTCACCCAGGCTGGAGTGTAGTGGCACCATCTCGGCTCACTGCAACCTCCACCTCCCGGGTTCAAGCAATTCTCGAGCCTCAGCCTCCCTAGTAGCTGGGACTGCAGGTGCACGCCACTGCACCACCATGCCCGGCTAATGTATGTATTTTTAGTAGAGACGGGTTTCACCATGTTGGCCAGGCTACTTTCCAACTCCTGGCCTCAGGTGATCCGCCCACCTCGGCCTCCCAAAGTGCTGGGATTACAGGCGTGAGCCACTGCGCCCTGTCTGGGTGTTTTGTTTTGTTTTGTTTTGAGACAGAGCCTTACTTTGTTGCCCAGGCTGGAGTGCAGTGGCACGATCTTGGCTCACTGCAACCTCCGCCTCCCAGGTTCAAGCAATTCTCCTGCTTCAGCCTCCCGAGTAGCTGGGACTACAGGGCGCACGACCACGCCCAGCTTTTTTTTTTTTTTTTTTTTTTTTTTTTAGTAGAGATGGGGTTTCACCATGTTGGTCAGGATGGTCTCAATCTCCTGACTTTGTGATCCGCCCGCCTCGGCCTTCCAAAGTGCTGGGATTACAGTCGTGAGCCAGCGCGCCCGGTCCTGTTTTTTTTTTTTTTTTTTTTTTTTACATGTTGCAGCTCTGCTGTTTGGTGTATACATATTTAGGATTGTTATGCCTTCTTGGTGGATTTTCTTTGTTCTTAAGTTTATATTAATATAGTCACTTTTGCTTTCTTTTGATTAACTTTTGCATGTAATATATTTTATCCCCTTAATTTCAGCCTGCTTATATAATTATATTTGAAATGAGTTTCTTTTAGATAGTGTATAGTTGGATTATGTTTTCTAATCTGTTCTGTCAATCTCTCCCTCCCTCCATTCCTTTCTTCCTTTTGCCCTCTCTCCTTCCTTTCTTTCTCTCTCGCTCCTTCCTTCTTTCTTCCTTCCTTTCTTTTCTTTCTTCCTTTATTTTCTTTCTATTTTTAATAGACGGGATCTTGTTTTGATGACCAGACTAGAGTGCAGTGGCTATTCACCAGGGCAATCGTAGAGCACTGGGGCTTCCAACTCCTGACCTCAAGCTGTTTTCCTGCCTCCTCTTCAGCCTCCTGAGTAGGTGTAGCTGGGACTATAGATGCAGGCCACCACGCCTGGCTCATGGTTTGTTTTTGTTTTTTTGTTTTTTTTCTCATCCTTCTTTTAAAGTCGCTAAATAAAAATCATACCTGGATGTCTGGAAATGTCAGTTAACATCAAACATGTTGCTGCCATGAAGTGCCAGACAATTCTTTTTTAGTACCTAAAAAAGTGTCCCTCCTCTGAGAAGAGGACAAATAGTTCACAGATGTGTAAGACATTTTAACTGTAGTGAAACAGCAGCCATTTCCTCTGCTGTTTCCTGTCCGTCTAATCACTTCTGCTTTTACTTTCTTTCTTTTTTCTTTTTTTTTTTTTAAGACGTAGTCTCGCTCTCTCTCCCAGGCTGGAGTGCAGTGGCGCGATCTCAGCTCACTGCAAGCTCCGCCTCTCGGGTTCACGCCATTCTCTGCCTCAGCCTCCTCGAGCAGCTGGGACCACAGGCGCCCGCCACCACGCCAGGCTAATTTTTTGCATTTCTAGCAGAGACGGGGTTTCACTGTGTTAGCCAGGATGGTCTCGATCTCCTGACCTCGTGATCCGCCCGCCTCGGCCTCCCAAAGTGCTGGGACTACAGGCGTGAGCCACCGCGCCCGGCTATGCTTTTATTTTCAAGGCACTAATCAAAATTTCTGGCCTACTGATGGCCCTATTTAAAGGGTTTCCTGGGCTATGATAGTTTCAAACTCTATATTTCCTGAAGACTAATAAAGAGGGAAGGGAGTTCTGTTTGTCAACTTTACTGTTTCTTTTCCTCCTTCCCTTCCTTCCATTCTTTCTTTCTTTTTCTCCTGTCACTCTCTTTTTTTTTTGCTGCTTTTCTCCAAAAAAGAACTTCACTATTTCTTTCCCTACCAGAGCAGCCCCTCATTACCTCCTGACTCTGAGAAAGAAACTCTGTCTCTTTCAGATGTCCTTAGTTGATTGACTCACAAGCAAGGAGTGTGACAAGGAAAATAGAATAAAACACCTTCTAAATTCTAATACAAATTGAGAAATTTGTACCTTTGTCTCTGCCTTGCAACATTTAAAATAAAGTGGGACCATCTGAGAAGCATATATTGTTCAAATCTTGGGATAATTTCAAAACATCTTTTCCTCAATGACAAATCAACAATACTGGAATACATATCATATATATGTAGTATGTATTATATATATATATCAGACAAAGATTATTTCTCTAAACTATTTGATAATGATTTTCAGACATCATATCTTTTTATTCTTAAATACTTCAATGTGTATTTCTTAAGAAAAAGGTCAATTCCTTAACACAACACAATTATCAAGTTCAGTAAATTTGACATTGATAAATGTGAATATAGTCTAATATAAAGTCTATTAAAAATTGTCTAATTGTACCAATAAAAACTTTTATAGAAATTTCTCTTCCAAGCTAGGATCCATTTCAGAATCACATATGAATCTAGTTGTCTTGACTCTTTAGTGCCCTTTAATTTGGAACAGTTTCTTAATCTTCTTGTCTTTCACAACACCGACATGTTTTTGAAGAGTTTTTCCAGTGGTTTTGTGCAACGTTTCTTAATCTGTATTAGCCATGATAAGATTACATCGGGTTATGGAATTTGGGAGAAATGTCACAGAAATCACGTTATTACCCTCTCTCACACCAAGAGGCATGAGCTGACTGAAGTTAGCTTGATCACTTGATTTTAAGTTTGTAATTACTGTTTCTTCCCTGAAAAATTATCATTTTCCTCATTGTAATTAATAAATAATCTACAGGGAAATACTCTGAGACTACGTAAATATCCTGATCCTCATCAAATTTTTACCTATACTTTAACATTAACTTACAAATTTTGCCTGCATCTATCATCATTCTGATGGTATTGTTTAAATGGGGATTTTTAAATTTTATCCTCACTTTGTTTCTTTGTTCATTTTTTTGAGACGGAGTCTCGCTCTGTCGCCCAGGCTGGAGTGCAGTGGCGCAATCTTGGCTCACTGCAAGCTCCGCCTCCCGGGTTCACGCCATTCTCCTGCCTCAGCCTCCCGAGTAGCTGGGACTACAGGCACCCGCCACCACGCCCGGCCAAGGTTTTGTATTTTTAGTGGAGAGGGGGCTTCACCGTGTTAGCCAGGATAGTGTCGATCTCCTGACCTCGTGATCCACCCGCCTCAGCCTCCCAAAGTGCTGGGATTAAAGGCGTGAGCCACTGCGCCCGGCACTCACTTTCACATTTATCATTTGGCAAACCACTGTAAGGAAAATCGTCCCGTCCTCCATATTTATTTGTTTAAGTTCCCAAGAATGATAATCAGTTATTGTCATCACTGATGCTAAAAGTGTGTCAGATTTGGCCAGTGAGATTCCCTTCAAGCTGGCTTCTGTGTCCTTTTAAATCACCCCCGTCATTTCTGAGCACTTACATTCTGGCAAGGCAAGATATCTTAGGTTCATTTTGCAGTTTCCCTGGCACAGTCCTGGAGTCTGTGTAGTTGACACTAATAGCTACTTTCTATTAGTATCTCTGGTTCCTTTTAGTAGGGAATGGTATTTGAAAATCAAGATACAGAGTTATCTTTGCTCATTGCTTCTGAGGTATCATTTCTTCTAGGCCCAGTTAGCAGATAGATCTGTGGGGAAATTTTACAATTTCATATGTACAATTTCATACTGATGCCTCTAATTCCCATCAGTATCAACAGGACTATTCTTTACCTTCCTTCTTCTCCCACAGTGAGAGTCTGTTTCCAACAACAGACACTCGATTTCCCAATCCTAAAATTCACACAAAATATCAGAATTGCTACAGCCCTCACTCTACAAAAAATAATCCTGATACATAGAGTTTAAGATTTGTTCGATGTTCTTTTTGATCTCACAATTAGAACAACAATCTGTGTAAACCATTTTCTTATATCAGTTCTTTCCTCTTCAATGTGGTTATGTTATTCTTTTGAAATGCAGTTAATTTGCCTCTATTTGTACTGAATTTTAGGGTATTTTCACACATACCTGAGTTTTATTTTTTGACTATGGGAAACACTAAGATGCTTCCCAGAGTCAAAAGAAAAAAGTTATAATCAGAAAATTTGCAAGAGAATGTTGTATGCCGGAGGTCACTCAAGGGATAGAATGGAATTATGCTCCAGAAAGTCTAATATGATGGGGAGACCACTTTGGGGTGAGTTGATCTTGGACTGACCACAAATCAGGAACATCAGGAACAATGCCTTTGTTTTTACCACAAGATATCTTTCTCCTGGTGTAGCCATGCCCGAGAGAGAGAGAGAGAGAGAGAGAGAGAGAGAGAGAGAGAGAGAGAGAGAGAGAGAGGGCGCTTAGTGTCGGGAATTCATAAACAGTGGAATTGGAAACATACAGTGATTGTCTTGATGACACAGAGCACAGACTCAGGCAACGGAGATCACCAAAACATTTTCCCAAGCTCCTGATCTCCTGCGGGGGTATAGCTCAGGGACAGAGCACGTGGTTAGCATGCGTGAGGTCCTGCGTTCAACTTCCAGTATTTCCACTCTTTTTTTTCCTATGAGCCACCTTAGGAAGTTCTCCATGATATTCCCCACCTATTCAAGGGAATTGTGTTGGCCTCTGCATTTCTCTCTCATACAGGGAGATAATTCGTGTTCATTCACTTACAGTTCTTTGTTGCTTAGAATTATCCCCCTGTCCTAATTAGTTCCACAAATCACTAATGTGGATCACACACTATAGAAGCAAGTAGTATTCCTTGCCATCCCGCCGATTTCCAGTTTAAATAAAATAGTCAGAAACCATTGAATTCTGTGACCTAAGTCTGATTTCAGATCAGAAGGTTAAGGCTCAAGTTCTTTTGCGTTTCTTACTTTCTTCTAACTGCTTCCTCACCCAGGTTGCAAAAGTCCTGCAAGCTTTCACTAAAAGATTCCACTACAAGTGGCTGATGATTGCTGGTGATGTGCTGGTGGTCACTTTTTCCATTAGAGACCGACAAATTCTGAAACTTAATCCAAGCTATTTAACTACAAACATAAGGACAAATGACAAATATAATGACAAATGAGGAAAAGATCTCAATCACCTCAGCTGAAATTTAGCAGGGAGAAAATTACTTCTCTTGGTTCTTTAAGGAAGTTTCTGGTCTGAAATGGCAAGCTCTCTGAACTCCAGAGTCCAAGATCCATCTAGGGTAGAAGCTCGTTTCTTCTTTTTTTTTTCTTTTTTCTTTCTTTCTTTTTTTTTTTTTTTTTTTTTTTTTTTTTTTTTTTTTTTTGAGATGAAGTCTCACTCTGTTGCCCAGGCTGGACTGCAGTGGAGCGATCTTGGCTCACTGCAAGCTCCGCCTTCTGGGTTCAAGCAATTCTCCTGCCTCAGCCTCCTGAATAGCTGGAAATACAGGCACTTGCCACCTCGCCTGGCTAATTTTTTGTATTTTTAGTAGAGATGGGGTTTCACCATGTTGGCCAAGCTGGTCTCAATCTCCTGACCTCGTGATCTGCCCACCTTGGCCTCCCAAAGTGCCGGGATTACAGGCGTGAGCCACTGCACCCAGCCAAAACCTCATTTCTTTGTTTTGTTTTGTTTTTTTTAATAAATAAAAATAATGAACTTTTATTCTCCCAATCCCAATGGATCCTTTTCTACCTCACTGTACTTACTTTCAAGGAATAACTTCCTTCTTAGCTACTGAACATCCCATATCTCCAGATTAGAACCCTGCACAATTTCTAATTCTGATATCACAGTGCTAAGCAGAAATTCACAGGGGGATACTTGGCAAGCATCTTAACACTATTTTGTTAAAAGAAAATCTCCTTTTATTTTCCACTCTATTTCATCAAAGGATTAAAAATTAAGTTACTAAACACCTAGAAGGCAGAAAAGCAGCCTCTTTCTCCATGTGCAGAAGCTAAGCAACCCAGTGGGGCTTCTGTATGCATCATCTCTTTTACTCACTTTCTAAAAGCTGTAACCGTCCACCATCTACCAGGCGATCACAAACCACCCCTTAAGTCAATTTTGAGGTTAACCCACTTGACTTGAGAGGGATTCACCTGTACCACCTCTGCAGCTGTTATGTGAGAAAATAAACTCATCCATCTAAACCCAAAGAATGGACTCAGAGACCCGGAGAACAGCGAAAGTGAGACTTTTAATGACGGTCTTGAGAGATCAAGATCGGGTGTCTGGCGTGCAGGCACACCCAGAACAGTTTCAACAAGCAATTTGTCCCCTAGTGCGCAAGTCCCTCCCCAGGTTCCTCATAGGCTGAGTGCTATGGGGTTACAATTTTCTCGGCGTTTGCCTACTGATTGTTAGGCAAAGGCTTTAGGTGTCTCTTTTTTAGGGTTGTCTTGCTGCATTTTGTTGCAGCCCACAATGCATTGCAATCCTGGTTAGCTCAAGGGCTCTTTAAGTGTTTGACTTATGACCTAAGTAGCTGGGCAGGCTGATAAGAACAGACAAAGTGAGCTATTTTGCAGACTAGTAAACTTATATCTTAGACTAAACTGTTTTTGTTTGGGTGAAGGCCACCAAGGATGGGGGATGGGAAGGGGGAGGAAAGAGGGGGGCGACAAGCAGGCATCCGCTATCCAAGCAGGGACCTAGTATACCCTGTTTCTTCTGTACTTTGCTGACCTAAGCCAATTTAAGGCACTTTGTCTTGGAAATAGATCACTGTATACATTATTTCCTTCAGGAATAGCACTAAGGAAAAGGTGGCTGCACACGTAGTTAACACCGATTTTACCGCGACTTTGTAGTACCTAACCTTGTTTTTAGACTCTCCCTTAATCGCCTAGCCTTGTTTCCACATGAATAGGCTCTTCCTTAGCTGAGAAAGCCGGAAGTACTCCTTTTGGCTCCTTCATTTACAAGACGTCAAAGACTCCTTACCCACCCCCTTCCTCAAGCAGTTAACTTGTGTAAGCTGACTCTTACATATCAAAGAGTCCAATTAACTGATAAGGTACTGAAGCAAGCAATTTACGAAGTTACCAGGATTTCGCTCAAGAGATAACACCATAAAGCTTTGAGTTTGTGTCCGGGAGAGCCCCCATACCTAACGCCTTATGATAGATTTAGAGCCCCTGCACCTGGAACTGTTTGTTTCCTTGTAACCATTTGTCTTTTTAATTTTTTTGCATGCTTTTACTTCTGTAGAATTGCTGCAACTAAGCTCCCCCTCCCCTTTCTAAACCAAAGTATAAAGGAAAATCAAGCCCCTTCCTCGGGGCCGAGAGAATTTCGAGCGTTAGTCGTCTGTCGGTCGCCGGCTAATGAAGGACTCTTAAATTCGTCTCGAAGTGTGGCGTTTCTCTAACTCGCTCGGGTACAACATTTGGAAGCCCCAGCGAGATATATTCGCCACTGGGCGAGAGCCGGGCTAGCTCCGGGCTCCCCCGGAGGGACGGCCGGCTTATAGGCGAGGAGCCACCTGAAAAAAAATTTTCCAGGTCCCCGAAAGGCGACCGTCTTCCGGAGGACAGCGGATCGACTACCGTGTGTGTGTGCCCACAAAATTCAACCTCTGAGTCCTCAGCTTCTGACCCCGGGGTCAGGTAAGTTAGATTTGACTTCTGTTTGGTGAGAGGGAGGCAGCCCTGACGAGGGCATCCCTGTCTTTGACACTGCCCGCTTTTCCAGGGCGCTGGAGGACAGAGCCCTGGTTTTTCTGTTAGGCGCCTTTTGGTTCTGGTTTGGTGAGAGGGAGGCAGCCCTGACGACGGTGTCCCTCTCTTTGACTCTATCCATACTCCAGGACGCTGGAGGATAGAGCCCTGGTTTCTGGCAGGCCGGCCTCTCCATTAAGACTAGTCTCTCACTCTCTCCTCCTCTTTTTCTTTCTCTCCCCCTTGCTCTATCTCTTCTCCTCCTCTCGTTCAGGTCTTCTGGGACCTTTGTTTAGAACGGGAAATAACAAAAATTGTTATAAACTCTTTGTGAATGTGTGCACGACTGAGGAGTCCAGGGGCCTGCCTCTGGATCCCCAGTTTGTAGCTCCACGGCGAAAGCTACGGAGTTCGAGTGGGCCCTCACCTGCCGTTCCGTGGCGACCTCATAAGGCTTAAGGCAGCATCGGGCATAGCTCCATCCGAGCCGGGGGTTTATACCTGCCTGCCAATGCTAAGAGAAGCCCAAGTCCCCTCAGGGGGAGCGGCCAGGCAGGCATCTGACTGATCCCATCATGGGACCCCCTCCCCTTGTCTGTCTAATAAAAACCTACCATAATTGTTTATATACCCAAGGGTCTATTGTTTGTTTTGTGTTTGTTGTCCTGCTCGGTGTCTATTGTCCTGTTTAGTGGTTGTCAAAGTTTCGTATGTCAGGTCATCGATACTGCCCAAGACGTCTGGGCAGGAACTTCTTCAAGGTCTTTAGTGTTGATTTTTTATCACAGGAGGTTAAATTTCTCATCAATCGCTTAGGCTGGCCATCCCAGTCCTGCCTTTTCTGTCAGAAACAAATCAGGTGTTGTTACGGGAACGGGAACGAGTGTGAGGAACATTCGCCTGTTTGGGATTTCTGGCACCATGAAGATTGCTGGCATTTAGATTGTCATACCCCATGTCCAAGTGACTGGGCCACCTCCAGACTAAACCGGTGGTAGGTTCAAAATAGCCACCCTGCAGACCTCCTTGCTCACCTCTTTTGTCATCCCGTAACTTTTTCTGTGCCCTTAAATACGGCACTGTGCAGAGAAACCTACGCCCGTACCACTTTACTTCGTTTAAACCCTTATTCTATTCCTCTGTGGCTACTCTCCTACCCTAGGAAAGATCCGAGTGGCCCTTTTTCCTCCTCATCCCTACCACTTACCCCGTACATCTCGTTTTCCCGTGTCACAGCAAGTTCAGCGTCTCCAGGACTTGGCTCTGCTCTCACTCCTCAAACTCTTAAAAGAAAAGGCCGAATTTGAGCTATTTGCCTTTGAGTCGTGGAGACACCAAAAGTATTTAGGCTACAGGTCCAGGGAAAGAGGGAGGACGCCTAGGTCCATCCAGCCAAGGAGACCTAAGGTTGGCCTCTAGTCCTCCTCCCTCAATCTTGGATAATTATTCTTTTTTTTTTTGAGACAGTCTTCTCTGTCGCCCAGGCTGGAGTGCAGTGGCGCGATCTCAGCTCACTGCAAGCTCCGCCTCCCAGGTTCAGGCCACTCTTCTGCCTCAGCCTCCCAAGTAGCTGGGACTACAGACACCCGTCACCACACCCAGCTAATTTTTTGTATTTTTAGTAGAGACGGGGTTTCACCGTGTTAGCCAGGATGGTCTCGATCTCCTGACCTCGTGATTCGCCCGCCTCAGCCTCCCAAAGTGCTGGGATTACAGGCGTGAGCCACTGCGCCCGACCTCCCTCAATCTTAAAGCTAGTTAACCGTCCTGTGGCAAGTAGTGTGAGCTATTGTTGTCTTTCGGCTCCTTCTGGTTATGTTAATTCTGTTCTTCCGATACTCCAGCCCCCTAGGGAATGAGTTTTTCTGTCCGTGCTGGGTTTGATATCCCTGCTCAAACCTTGTCAAACTGCCTCCAAAAATGGGAAACTCCTCTTCCCGGCCCTGTAAGGATTGGAGCCCCCTCCAATGTATGCTGCAGAATTTTTCTCTAGGCTTCTCAGAGGATTATGGGGTCCGCCTTTAAAAAGGCAAACTCCGGACACTCTGCGAAGTAGAATGGCCAAAGTTTGGAGTCGGATGGCCCCCAGTAGGGTCACTGAACCTAGCAATTGTTCAGGCTGTGTGGCGGGTTGTTGCTGGAACTCCCGGCCACCCCGATCAGTTTCCCCACATTGATCAATGGCTGAGTTTGGTCAGAAGCTCCCCACCATGGCTCCGCTCATGCGCCATTCATAATTCTGCCTCCAAGGTCGTTTTGAGCCAGACCGCACTTCCGCCTGGACCCTCAGTCTGTTCGGCTCACCCTGTACTGCCTCCCTCTGAAGAAGAGGAGAGTCTCCCCCACTCAGTTCCGCCGCCTTATAACCGTCCTGCTCCCTTAGAATCTTCCCTTGTCTCCTCGACTACATCCCCTGTAGGCTCGCCGCCTATTGCCTCTCGATTGCGGCCGCGGCAGGAGGAAGTAGCCCCCCCTCTACCGCGGAAAGAAGCACAAGTCCCTCCGGGTGATGAGCGCTCAGCCCCATTCTTGGTTTATGTCCCTTTTTCTCCTTCTGACCTCTGTAACTGGAAGGCTCATAATCCTCCCTTCTCTGAAAAGCCCCAGGTCTTGATCTCACTGATGGAGTCTGTGCTCCGGACCCATCGGCCCACCTGGGATGACTGTCAGCAGCTCCTTTTGACCCTTTTTACCTCTGAAGAGAGGGAACATATCCGAAGAGAGGCCAGAAAGTATTTCCTCACATCAGCCAATAGGCCAGAGGAGGAAGCTAGAGACTTTCTTGAGGAGGTCTTTCCCTCTACCCGGCCTAACTGGCACACGAATTCCTCGGGTAGGAAGAAAGCTTTGGACGATTTTCACCGGTATCTCCTTGCAGGTATCAAAGGAGCTGCTCAGAAACCCATAAACTTGTCTAAGATGACTGAAGTCGCACAGGGCCTGATGAGTCACCGGGAGCGTTTTTAGAACGCCTCCAGGAGGCCTATCGGACTTACACCTCTTTTGACCCGGCGGCTCCCGAAAATAGCCGTGCTCTTAATTTGGCATTTGTGGCTCAGGCAGCCCCTGATATTAAAAGAAAACTCCAAAAACTGGAGGGATTTCCTGGGATGAATATCACTCAGCTTTTAGAGATAGCCCAAAAAGTTTTTGACAATCGAGAGTTTGAAAAAAGAAAACAAACAGCACAGGCAGCAGCTGATAAAGCATACAAAAGACAAGCAAAAATCTTAGCTGCGGCCATCGGAGAGGTCAAGAAGGGAAGGCCCCCATCACAGAGGAATAGCCAGGGAACCTCAGGTCCCTACCAGAAGGGCAAAAGAGGAGAACAGGCTCCCCTAGAAAAGGACAAATGTGCTTATTGCAAGCAGACTGGGCACTGGAAAAAGGAATGCCCACTACGGCCAGAGGAAAAATCAGAAAAGAAAAAGGCCCTCACCCTCCCCGCAACGGAAGAGTCTGATGACTGATGGAGCCAGGACTCCCTCTCTCTTGGCCCCCAGGAGCCCACGGTGACCGCTACAGTGAGGGGCCAGCCTGTACGCTTCCTAGTAGCTACCGGGGCGGAGCACTCGGTACTACAGACCCCCTTGGGCAGTGTCTCTAATAAAAGAGTGGCTGTACAAAGGTCTACTGGAGCTATTCAGGAATATCCTGTCACACACTCACGAGAAGTGAGCTTGGGACAGAAAAGAGTGAGACAGTCATTTCTTGTGGTTCCAGAGTGTCCTTTTCCTCTCCTCGGAGGAGATCTGCTCCATAAGTTACAGGCCTCTATCTCCTTCTCAGCCCAGCAGGCTAACGTCATGCTAGGAAATACAGCGCCCCCCACTGCCCAACTCCTGCTAACTACCCCTCTGTCAGAGGAAAATCTTTTAGTGTCACCATCACAACCACTGGAAAATAATACTAATCCTCTCCTGTTGGACTTACAGACACTCTTTCCCAGAGTTTGGGCCAGTCAAACCCCCCAGGACTGGCTAAACACCATCCACCAGTGGTTGTAGAACTCCTGGCCACTGCCTTGCCTGTCCAGGTAAAGCAATATCCTATGAGTCAGCAGGCTAGACAGGAGATTAATCCCCATATTCAATGACTGTTACAAGCTGGCATACTCACACCGTGTCAGTCCGCCTGGAATATTCCATTTTTGCCGGTCCAGAAACCCGGAACGAATGATTACCAGCCGGTACAGGACTTAAGGGAAGTTAACAAACAGACTGTTACTGTCCATCCAACTGTCCCCAATCCTTATACTCTACTCAACCTGCTCCCGCCAGAACTTACAGTATATACACTGTCCTTGACCTAAAGGATGCCTTCCTTGCTATTTCTCTGGCCCCCAAGAGCCAACTGATCTTTGCTTTTGAATGGACAGATCCTAGCTCAGGAGACACTACCCAATTGACTTGGACTCAGTTACCTCAAGGTTTTAAAAATTCCCCCACCCTTTTTGGAGAGGCCCTCCAGCAGGATCCTATACCATTCCAAGCTAGTCACCTTAACTGTACTCTTCTTCAGTAGGTGGACAACCTTTTATTAGCTACTGAAACTAAAGACAGTTGCCTGCAACATACTAGGGACCTACTTTACCTCCTTCAGGAGCTCGGGTATCGAGTCTCAGCCAAGAAGGTCCAGCTTTGTCTTCCCACAGTGTCCTACCTAGGATACGACATAAGCCAAGGAAAAAGGGCACTCACCAGTGCCCGGAAAGAAGCCATCCTACGAATCCCCACTCCCACCACCAAGAGACAGGTACGTGAATTCCTGGGGGCCGTAGGATACTGTCGCCTATGGATGTCGGGGTTCGCGGAGATTGCGAAGCCCCTGTACACTGCTACAGGAGGGAATAGCCGGCTAGTTTAGATGGACACAGAAGAACAGGCTTTTCAAAATCTGAAAAAGGCATTAACTGAAGCCCCTGCTCCAGCCCTCCCAAATATCCCAGAGCCGTTTCACCTGTTTGTCCACGAAAGCCAGGGAGTTGCTAAGGGGGTGCTTACTCAGACTTTAGGACCCTGGAGATGCCCAGTGGCCTATTTGTCTAAGAGGCTGGATCCTGTGGCCTCTGGATGGCCAACTTGTCTGCGAGTCATAGTGGCAACAGCAAGCCTAGTCTAAGAGGCTGATAAGTTAACTCTAGGTCAAAATTTAACCTTTACCGCTCCTCATGCCGTAGAGACTTTATTACGAAGTGCTTCTGGCAAATGGATGTCAAATGCTCGCATCCTGCAGTATCAGAGTTTACTGTTAGATCAGCCTCGTTTGACTTTCTCTCCCAGAAGGTGTTTAAATCCAGCTACTTTACTCCCTGATCCAGACTTCACTACACCTGTCCATGACTGCCAGGAACTGTTAGAAACTACAGAAACTGGCCCACCTGATCTCCAAGATGTGCCCCTAAAGAAGGTGGACGCCGCCATGTTTACAGGCGGTAGCAGCTTTCTCAAAACAGGGAGTACGAAAGGCTGGTGCAGCCATTACTACAAAGACAGATGTGCTATGGGCCCAGGCTTTACCGGCAAATACCTCGGCACAAAAAGCTGAATTGATCGCCCTCACTCAGGCTCTCCGATGGGGTAAGGATAAACTTATTAACATTTACACTGACAGCAGGTATGCTTTAACTACTGTACATGTACATGGAGCCATCTATCAGGAGCGTGGGCACCTCAGCAGGAAAGACTATCAAAAACAAAGAAGAAATTCTAGCCCTGCTTGAAGCCGTATGGCTCCCTCAGCAGGTGGCTGTAATCCACTGCAAAGGACATCCAGGAGAAAACACGGCCATTGCCCGTGGTAACCAGAAAGCTGACTCAGCGGCCCGGGATGCAGCCAGACTTCCAGTCATGCCTCTAAACTTATTACCCACAGTCTCCTTTCCACAGCCAGATCTGCCCTACAATCCCGCGTACTCAACGGAAGAAAAAAAACTAGCTTCAGATCTCAGGGCCAATAAAAATCAGGAAGGTTGGTGGATTCTTCCTGACTCCAGAATCTTCATACCCCGAGCTCTCTCGGGGAAACTTTAATCAGTCGCCTGCATTCTACCACCCATTTAGGAGGAGCAAAACTGGCCCGGCTCCTCTAGAGCCATTTTAAGATTCCCTATCTTCAAAGCTTAGCAGATCAAGCAGCTCTCCGGTGTACAACTTGTGCCCAGGTAAACGCCAAGCAAGGTGCTAAACCCAGCCCAGGCCACCGTCTTTGAGGAAACTTGCCAGGAGAAAGGTGGGAAGTTGACTTTACAGAAATAAAACCACACCGGGCTAGGTACAAATACCTTCTAGTACTAGTAGACACCTTCTCCGTATGGACTGAGGCATTTGCCACCAAGAATGAGACTGCCACCATGGTAGTTAGGTTTTTACTCAATGAAATCATCCCTCGACATGGGCTGCCTGCTGCCATAGGGTCTGATAACGGACTGGCCTTCACCTCGTCCATAGCTCAGTCAGTCAGTAAGGCATTACACATTCAATGGAAGCTCCATTGTGCCTATCGACCCCAGAGCTCTGGGCAGGTAGAACGCATGAACCGCACCCTAAAAAGCACTCTTACAAAGTTAATCTTAGAGACCGGTGAGAACTGAGTAAGGCTCCTTCCTTTAGCCTTTCTTAGAGTAAGGTGCACTCCTTACTGGGCTAGGTTTTCACATTTTGAAATCATGTATAGGAAGGCTCCACCTATCTTGCCTAAGCTAAGGGATACCAATTTGGCAGAAATATCACAAGCTAATTTATTACAGTAGCTAAAGTCTCTCCAACAGGTACAAGATATCATCCAGCCACTTTTCCGAGGAGCCCATCCCAATCCGGTTCCTGACCAGATGGGGCCCTGCCACTCATTCCAGCCAGGTGACCTGGTGTTTGTTAAAAAGTTCCAGAGAGAAGGACTCACTCCTGCTTACATAGGACCTCATACTGTCATCCTCACCATGCCAACAGCTCTGAAGGTGGATGGCATTCCTGCTTGGATTCGTCACTCCCGCATCAAAAAGGCCAACAAAGCCCAGCAAGAAACATAGGTCCCCAAGCCTGGGTCAGGCCCCTTAAAACTGTGCCTAAGTCGGGTGAAGCCATTAGATTAATTCTTTTTATTTACTTCTCTTTTTGGTTTTTGCCTGTCATGTCCTCTGCACCTTCCTATTCCCTTCTTCTCACCTATTTCATGACAAGACGTATATTCGCAAACAGTACTTGGAGGGCAGGAACCTCCAAGGAAGTCTCCTTTGCAGTTGATTTATGTGCACTGTTCCCAGAACCAGCCCGTACCTACAAAGAGTAACACAATCTGACAGTCAAGGGGGCAGGAAGCGTTGACCTTTTGGCAGGATTTGGACACTCCGGGAGCCAGACTGGATGTGGGAGCTCCAAAGGTGCGGAAAAAGGACTTCAGAATGTTGACTTTTACCTCTGTCCTGGAAATCACCCTGACTCTAGCTGTTGAGATATTTACCAGTTTTTCTGCCCTGATTGGACACGTGTAACTTTAGACACTTAACTCTGGGAGATCAACCGGATCTTCAACTCTTTCCATAAGTCGTGCTTCCCATCCTAGATTGTGTACTAGAAAAAATTGTAATCCTCTTACTATAACTGTCCATGACCCTAATTCAGCTCGATGGTATTATGGCATGTCATAAGGATTAAGGCTTTATATCCCAGGATTTGATGTTAAGACTATGTTCGCCATCCAGAAGAAAATCCTGGTCTCATGGAGCCCACCCAAGCCAATCAGGCCTTTAACTGATCTAGGCGACCCTATGTTCCAAAAACACCCTGACAAGGTCGATTTAACTGTTCCGCCACCATTCCTAGTTCCTAAACCCCAGCTGCAGCAACAATATCTTCAACACAGCCTGATGTCCATACTAGGCAGGGTACATCACCTTCTTAACCTCACCCAGCCTAAACTAGCCCAAGATTGTTGGCTATGTCTAAAAGCAAAACCCCCTTATTATGTAGGCTTAGGAGTAGAGGCCACACTTAAAAGTGGCCCTTTATCTTGTCGTGCACGACCCTGTGCCCTCACACTAAGGGATGTGTCTGGAAACGCTTCTTGTCTAATTAGTACCGGGTATAACTTATCTGCTTCTCCCTTTCAGACTACTTGTAATCAGTCCCTGCTTACTTCCATAAGCACCTCAGTCTCTTACCAAGTGCCTAACAATACCTGGTTGGCCTGCACTTCAAGTCTCACTCACTGCATTAATGGAACTGAACCAGGACCTCTCCTGTGCATGTAAGTTCATGTACTTCCCTGGGTATACGTGTACAGTGGACCAGAAGGACAACTTCTCATTTCTCCCCCTGAGTTAGATCCCAGGTTTCGCTAGCTGCCCTGCTCCTAGTTCCCTTCTTGGCCAGCCTTAGCATAGCCAGATCAGCAGCCCTAGTTCAAGGAGAAACTGGAATAATGGCCCTATCTCAACAGGTAGATGCTAATTTAAGTAACCTCCAGTCTGTCGTAGATTTGTTACATTCCCAGGTAGAGTCTCTAGCTGAAGTAGTTCTTCAAAACCGCTGAGGCTTAGATCTACTATTCCTCTCTCAAGGAGGTTTATGCGCAGCTCTAGGAGAAAGTTGTTGCTTCTATGCCAATCAGTCTGGAGTCATAAAAGATACTCTCCAAAAGGTTCGAGAAAATCTAGATAGATGCCAACAAGAAAGAGAAAATAACATCCCCTGGTATCAAAGCATGTTTAACTGGAATCCATGGCTAACTACTCTAGTCACTAGGTTAGTTGGACCCCTCCTCATCCTACTATTAAGCTTAATTTTCAGGCCGTGTATATTAAATTAGTTTCTTAACTTTGTAAAACAACGCATAGCTTCTGTCAAATTTATGTATCTTAGAACTCAATATGACCCCCTTATTATAACTGAGGAATCAACGATTTGATTCCCCAAAAACACAAGTGGGGAATGTAATACCTAACGTTGTTTTTAGACTCTCCGTTAATCACCTAGCCTTATTTCCACATGAATAGGCTGTCCCTTAGCTGAGAAAGCTGGACGAACTCCATTTGGCTCCTTCATTTACAAAACATCAAGGACTCCTTACCCACCCCCTTCCTCAAGCAGTTAACTTGTGTAAGCTGACTCTCAACATATCAGAGTCCAATTAACTGATAAGGTACTGAAGCAAACAATGCACGAAGTTCCCAGGATTTCACTCAAGAGATAACACCATAAAGCCTTGAGTTTGTGTCTGGCAGAACCCCCATACCTAATGCCTTATGATAGATTTAGAGCCCCTGCACCTGGAACTGTTTGTTTACCTGTAACCATTTGTCTTTTTAATTTTTTTGCATGCTTTTACTTCTGTAGAATTGCTGCAACTAAGCTCCCCCTCCCCTTTCTAAACCAAAGTATAAAGGAAAATCAAGCCCCTTCCTCGGGGCCGAGAGAATATCGAGCGTTAGTCCTCTTTTGGTCGCCGGCTAATAAAGGACTCTTAAATTCGTCTCAAAGTGTGGCATTTCTCTAACTCGCTCGGGTACAACAACTTCGCCTTTCCGCAGCCGCTGTCCAGCTCTGCAGAGTCCTTTTGAGAGAAGAGCTGGACAAGAGGAGTAAAGGAGCTCTTTGCAAATGCCAGGAGGAGTTTCTTCAGGGGGAAAGTTGGCTTTCCATAGGCTTCTAAGAGAAGTATGTGGAGCAAACAAACGGGAATTTTCTTTCTCATCTTTTGCATTTCAGACAAAAGCTAATAAAATTAGCTGTTTCCACCGTCATGCTTAGTCTCAAAGCTGCCGGTAGATTCCGCTTCTAACTTTCCACACAGGCGCGCAGGAAATCGGGAAATCACTGCAGCTCCCTCAGAAGCTCCAATATCAGCATTTCCTGAACTGAAAATAAAAATGCGACATTACGTGCATACCCAAAGAGCTCAACTGGTCTGTCCAGCAACGTAAAGAGAGGTGAGGCGCTCTTGAAGCCGTGCCAGCCTGGGCGAAACGAACCAGGTCCCCTTCCTGGTCGAGCCTACCCCCCTAGGGACAAAAAGGAACCTCTCTTCCCTCCTATCCAGAGGAAGGGACGGAGAGATGTGGCGATCAGACTCACTCTACCATCCAGTCTATCCAAGTACTAATAATCTTGAGGATGCTTTTCCTTGCCCTCTACCTCTCTCCCTTTTGTCCTTTGCTTCCTCCACTTCACGGCACCCCGCCTCTTCCGTCTCCCCGCAAGCTGGCGCTCGGCTCCTCCCGTTTACTTTTTGTTTGTTTGTTTTTGTTTTTTGTTTGCTTTTGTTTTTGTTTTTTGTTTTTGTTTTTTTGAGACGGAGTCTCGCTCTGTCGCCCAGGCTGCAGTGCAGTGGCGCGATCTCGGTTCACTGCAACCTCCACCTCCTGGGATCAAGCGATTCTCCTGCCTCAGTCTCCCGATTAGCTGAGATTACAGGAGCCCCCCACCACGCCCGGCTAATTTTTGTATTTTTAGTAGGGACGGGGTTTCACCATTTTCACCAGGATAGTCTCCAACTTCTGATCTCAAGTGATCCGTCCGCCTCGGCCTCCCGAAGTTCTGAGATTATAGGCATGAGCCACTGCGCCCAGCTTTCAGAATGAACTTTTCACAATAGTGCAGCGCACTCCTAGACCCGTTTACGCACATTTTAAACACTGTGTTGTGATTCATATGTAGATCTTTCCACATCACTTTCTATTTTTTTTTTCTTCTTTTCCTTCTCTGTATGCTCAGCTTTAAACATTTTTGCACCATAGGCTGAGGCTGCACTCAGCTGGGGAGAGACGCGTGGCGGGGATAAAACTAGAGTAGAGGAATGTTGTTTCCTGTCTGAGAAGGCTCAGACCTTACAAGGGGAGAAAAAAGTCTGTAAGAGAATCTAAAACTTTTTTTGAGGAAATAATTGAAAAATATATCCTAATTGACCCTCCCACCGTATTTTGGCTAAAAATAGAAAGCCTCGACTCTCAGGAGATTGAGTTTGAAAACTGTTAAGACATAGAAAAGGTTTTATTAAAATTCAGTTTGCAAATCATCGTCGGCCTCAGCAATTTTCTCATTCCAGAGAGGGTTGTTTCCGAAATTCTGTAAACATCTGAATTTGTTCCTATGTCTAACCAGAGAAGTTCAATGTTTTTACACTTTTGACTTAACGTAAGAATTTATATTGAGATATATACACTTCTGGGATTGGCGTGCAAGTGTTGTATAAGGGAGTGATAATTAGGCAGAACTAAAAAAACCAAACAAACCTGGTGAAACCCGGGATCGAACCAGGGACCTTTAGATCTTCAGTCTAACGCTCTCCCAACTGAGCAATTTTGGCTACTCTAAGCACGTGCCGTTAGCAATTTCTTCAAAATATAAAAATCTTCATTTGTAAAGTGGGCGTATTTCCTAATGCCTAATTCTTTTTTGTTCAATATCAACACAAAAATTAGCCAGGGGTGGTGGCGCGCGCCTGTAATCCCAGCTACTCCGCGCCGCTGTACTCCAGCCTGGGCGACAGAGCGAGACTCCCTCTCCCTCCGTTGAAGTGGGAGGATCCACTGAGCCGGGGAGGCAGAAGTTGCCGCGAGCCGAGATTGCACCACTGCACTCCAGCCCACGCAACAGAGCGGGACCCTGTCTCGAAAACAACAACAAAAAAGAGTTGTTATGCACCAGTGTGGAGACCACAATTTTAAAAACTCTAAGGAAGAGATAGAATGTACTGGAGGACATAAGAGATCCTTCTTTTCTTTCTTTTCCTGTCACTTATTTTATTTATTTAATTTATTTTTTTTAGACAATCTCCCTCTATCGCCCAGTCTGGAGTGCAGTGGCGTGATCTCGGCTTACTGCAACCGCCACCTCCCGGGTTCAAGCAATTCTCCTGCCTCAGCCTCCCTAGTAGCTGGGATTACAGGCGCGCACCACCACCCCTGGCTAATTTTTGTATTGATATTGAACAAAACAGAATTAGGCATTAGAAAATACACTCACTCTACAAATGACGTTTTTATATTTTGAAGAAATGACTAAGGGTGTGTGCTTAGAGTAGCTGAAATAGCTCAGTTGGGAGAGCGTTAGACTGAAGATCTTAAAGTTCCCTGGTTCAACCCTGGGTTTCAGCCAGCATCTTTTGAGTTCTGCCTAATTATCACTCCCTTATACAGCACTTATACGCCAATCCCAGAAGCTTACATATCTCCAATTTTTGGGAGTTTTTGAAAGTCTGATAAAGGTAATGTACATGTTTGTATCACTCTCTCCTTTGTATATTCCACTGAAGTCTTCCATGAAGTGCTCTCATTACATAAATTATTTAAAGTTTTTGGACGGAGTCTCACTCCGTCGCCCAGGCTGGAGTGCAACGGCGCGATCTCGGCTCACTGCAACCTCCGCCTCCTGAGTTCAAGCTGTTCTCATATCTCAGCCTCCCAAGTAAGCTGAGATTACAGGCCCCCGCAACCATGCCCGGCTAATTTTTGTATTTTTAGTAGAGACAGGGTTTCGCCATGTTGATCAGGTTGGTCTCGACCTCCTGACCTCAGGTGATCCACCTGCCTCGGCCTCTCAAAGTGCTGGGATTTCAGGCGTGAGCCACTAAGCCCGTCCTTATTTAAAGTCTTAAACTTAGGAAGTTATTAGTTTTAAAACCTAAGAAATTCCAACGTGCTATATGCTGTGGCATTTACAAGTCATTTTTGATTTGATATTATTTATATGTATTGGGCGAGGGTTATTTTTAAATCACAAGAAATATGAAAAAAAGAAACATACAGTGAAGTAACTATTATACTGTATGAGCATATATATGGGGGTGTGGTGTATGCAAGAAACATTTTGAAATTAGAAAAACCCGGGTTTGTATCTTGAGTCAACTCCATTATTAAAGTGCTGTAAGAACTTTTTTTTTCTTTCTTTCTCTTTCTTTCTTTCTTTCTCTTTCTTTCTTTCTTTCTTTCTTTCTTTCTTTCTTTCTTTCTTCTTTCTTTCTTTCTTTCTTTCTTTCTTCTTTCTTTTCTTTCTTTTAAGCAGGGTCTCACTCTGTCATCCAGGCTGGAGTACAGTTATACAATCAGAGCTCACTACAGCCTCAACCTCTCTAGGCTGAAGTGACTCCACATGTCAGCACCCTGAGTAGATGGGACTACAGGCGAGCACCACCATGCCTGGCTAAATTTTTTTTTTTTTTTTTTTTTGTATTTTTTTTGTAGACTGTGGGTTTCACCGTGTTGCCCAGGCTGGTCTTTAAATCCTAGGTTTAAGCAATCCACCTGCCTAGGTAGGCCTCCCAGAGTGCTTGGATTACAGGCAGGAGCCATCGCACCAGGCCCAATTACAAGAACATTCTAAATTTTCTTGCTGAGAAGACATTTCTTTAGCCTGGCAACCTTGTCTAGAATTTCCAAATCTTAAGCTGTTTCCATGTTTGTATCCAGGAAAAAAGAAATATATGTATTTCTATATGAATTATTTTATCAAACATTCATGAGGGGCTCTAGAATACTGAAAATGAAAGCAAATGGGCAGCAAAGTCAAGACTCAGGTGCATGTGCCCCATTTTCCCTTTTTCACTTCAACTCCTCTCTTGAAATTCTCTGTTGGGATAATAGGTCTTTTTTTGGTCATTTTGATTTTTTTTCTTTCAAATTACTGCTTCAGTTTCAGTGTTGTTTTTCTCTAACTTCTGCATACCCTGTGAGGAGACAATAATCTACAATACTCCACTATCAGAACTGCAGCAAGTTGCAAAAGGAAAATTAGTACCAAATGAGAAGTAACCTTGGGTTAGGGACATTGACTGTACAGAAACTGGGAATCAGGTACTTTATCCTTTCACTGAGGCTTTCTCAACTCAGAAGCTTGTGTTTTACTCCATTAAGAAATATTTGACTAGACAAACAGTAACATTGAATGTTTTGTGCCTAACGCAGTAAAGATTCCTTTACATTCTGTTGAAATGGAAGGCCTAGGGCAATTCCAAGCATGATTTGTCTGCCATTCAATGGCTTAAAAATGATGTTAATAATGATTTTGTAAAATGGGATGTTGTAAAGATCAAAGGAGATCATGCATAGAAATGCATTCTGTCAAGTCCACTCACAGCATGAAACTTAATTACTGGCAGATCATGCTCCGTGTTCTCTGCTTCTGGGATTCTCCCAGAACAGCACCTAAATGGATAACATTGTCTTTAGACAATTCTGTCCAATCAAGAGATAATACAAGTTTTAAATGACAGCCATTTTGTAGTGTTACCTTTTGCAGTAGTTGCATTAAAAAAAGTCAATATTTATATTTTTATGTAATTTCAATTTTTATTTTAGATTTGGGGGTACACGTGCAGGTTTGTTACATGGGTATACTACATGATGCTGGGTAAATTGCATGAGGTTTTGAGTGCAATTGATCCCATCACCCAGGTAGTAGGCATAGTACCCAAGAGGTAGCTTTTCAAATCTTTCTGCCCTCCCTCCCACCCCTCCCCATAGTCCCCAGTGTTTGTTGTTGCTATCTTTTATGTCCAGTTTCAATAATATATTTAAATCACTTTGTATATCCAAAAACTTATTTTAAGAAGCTATCAATTATAAAATTATTAGTGAGATATTTTATATTTAAAAAATAGTATTACACATCTTTGAAATCTGGTGTGTGTATGTATATATATATTTACATATATATATATTTTTTTTTTTTTTTTTTTTTTTTGCGAAGGATTCTCGCTCTGTCACCCAGGCTGGAGTGCAGTGGCCCGATGTCGGCTCACTGCAACCTCAGCCTCCCAGGTTCAAGCAATTCTCCTGCCTCAGCCTCCCAAGTAGCTGGGATTTCAGGTGTGTGTCACCAAGCCAGGCTAATTTTTGTATTTTTAGTAGAGATGGGGTTTCACCATGTTGGTCAGGCTGGTCTCGAACTCCTGACCTTGTGATCCACCCACCTCAGCCACCCAAAGTACTGGGATTACAGACGCAAGCTACTGTGCCTGGCCAAATCTGATATGTATTTTACACTTACAACACTCTTAACTTGGACTGGGCAATTTCAAGCATTCAATAGCCAGTGTGGCTAATGGTAACCATATTGGACAGTGCAGGTTTAAACAGATACTTTATATATTTTTAGGTTTTCTGAATTGAGTATGTATCACATGAGGGTGTTCTGTCTTCAGGATTAAATGTTTAATTCCTCAGAGGAATTCTGTGTTAAATAAGCTCATCCCACAGTTTTTACAAAAAAAACTGTGTTTCAGTCGTGTTGTTGTTAGTCAGAAGAGAGCTACAGATATTTAATTATTTAAAATTCTCTCCTTTTCAAGAGGCAAACAAAAAAGCAGACCTTCATATTATGATGAATTCCCAAGAATCCAGTAGACATCCAGGTTTCTCTGGGTGCAACATGACATAATGATGAAGGAGTGTTTCTGCAAATTGTCCTAATATTACTTCTGCAGCATCAAAGAGCTAAGATTATCTCCCTAGCATTTACATGCACACACAGACAGTCAAACACACACACAAACACTAGTTTTGTGTGTAACACTTCTCTTGTTTCTTATTCAGTGAAACCTAGCATTCAGTGCTTCCTATTTTTGTTCTAGAAATTCCATCAGCCAACCGAAAAGACAAGTCTGCCATATAACCTGCTGTTTTCTGCCAGTTCTACAAGGGATCAATGTTATTTCATGAGTGTTGGCAAAGGCTCATATATGAGTAAATCAGAATGAGAAAGAGTTAACAGTCACTAGAAATTTGGTGTCAGGAAATGGATTTTCTTCTCATCTTCTTATGTAGTTCAAAGAACACAGCCCTAATCATGATAAATAATAATAAATACCAGGGTTCAAGAACATAGAGGAGCAAACTTTAAAAAAAATTTTTTTTTACTTTATTATTATTATTATTATTATTTGAGAGAGAGTTTCACTCTTGTTGCCCAGGCTGGAGAGCAATGGCATGATCTCACTCACTGCAACCTCCACCTCCTAGGTTCAAGCAATTCTCCTGCCTCAGCCTCCCGAGAAGCTGGGATTACAGGAATGCACCACCACACCCAGCTAATTTTTGTATTTTTAGTAGAGACAGGGTTTCACCATGTTGGCCAGCCTGGTCTCGAACTTGCAACCTCAGGTGATCCACCCGCCTTGGCCTCCCAAAGTGCTGGGATTACAGGCGTGAGCCACCACACCCGGCTTTTTTTTCTTTTAAACAAATATCGTGAATAGGTTTGTAATTCCCAAATCTAAAAGGACCCTTTTTAGTCTTTATCCACCCTCTATGCAATATGTCTACTACTACTAATGCTCACAAACCCCAGGCTGGAGAGTCAATTGCCTGAGTTCTCCATGTAACATCCTCACAGTGTGCCCCACAGATACACCGAATTTAGCATGAGCCAAGCTAACTTATCTTCTCCATCTTCCAATCTTTCTCCCATTCCTTAAAGAGTTGTTAAAAACTCCCCTTTTCTACACCTCCTTCTGTTTGGCAATAGCCTGTTTGTTTTTCTAAACCACTTTCCCCCGTACCTCTTAAATCCTGTTTCTACTTATTTTTTATCTCACCCTCATAATTCAACTCTTCTCGTCATCCCTAGAGGTGTTGTTTCACTCACACCTTATAAATTTTTCTTTTCTTTTCTTTTTGATTTTGATACAGGGTCTCACTCCATCACCCAAGCTGGAGTGCAGTGGCGTGATCATAGCTCCCTGCAGCCTCCAGCTCCCAAGGTCAAGTGATCCTCCTGCTTCAGCCTCTGGAATAGCTGTGAGTACAGGCGCAGGACAACACACCAGCTAAAGACCCTTAAGATGAAATGCTGAGTGCATCGCTCTCAGGTTTTCTTCTGACTGTGATTTTCCTCAATCAAATCTAACCTTTAATATTCCGGCTGAGTAAACAACAAATATGAAGCATTTTAGGTAAGAAAAAGCTGAATTTCAATAACTTTGCGTCATCTCTGAAAGAAATCGAAAGAATGAAAAACCAGAATTTGATTCCTTGCCAAGCATAACAGAAGAAGGAGATCCTGACAACTCAACGTTTTAAAGCCACATTGGAAACTTCTTTTGGCGGTTATCTGACACTTTTCTAATACTTTGCTTTCCATTTCAAGTCCTGTACAGTATACTAAAGAATCTGTATCCCCTCATTAGTACCGAGTATCTTCTACTCAGAGCAGCTGAAGGCGCTCCATGATACTAACCACTACTACCAGCATGCTCACGGAGCCAGTCTCAGAAAATGAAAGTTACCTCCTGAAAATTATTACAAAACAGTCTTTCAGGAGGGGGGTGTAGCTCAGTGGTAGAGCACATGCTTTGCATGTGTGAGGCCCCGGGTTCGATCCCCGGCACCTCCAAATGGTGGTTTTGCTCTGGCAGTGCTTAAATGTAATTCTCAAGCAACATAGCCTTCTGCCTCCTCACCTTTTTCTATCCTATTTCTGCACGTATAGAGAGTAAAAACGTAACCCAATGGATTGCCTTCACTTATCTCCCATCTCTATAATGTAAGCCTCAACATCACCTAAGGCGATTGCGACGGCAGAAGGAAGAGGAGAAAGAAGAATGAGGTCGCAACAGGGTCTCTTGAAAGCAAACAAAAGCGTGCACATCAACAGGCGGCTCACTTTGGCTTCGGTTTTGTACTATGATTAAAGAGAAGGAAAGGCTGAGAAGAAGAAAGGCAGAAAAGCCCCCCCCCGCCCCCCGGGCATTTCGTTTTGGTCGTTGTTTTTGTTTTCTGAGCCAAATCCAGAGTCAAAGCATCTGTCCACTGATTTCTCTCCCTGTCGAACTGCGCAGAGAGCACAGCCACAAGTGCGATCCAAAGCTGAGAAAATGTGGCTCTCCAGCCGCTTGAGATGAGAGTGGCAGGACGCTGGACAACCGAACGAAGACTGTCGGGGAATTAGAGGTCTTCAACACGGAAGGAGCGAAATCAATAAGGATCAACACATTCCCTACTGATAGTCCATACGATTGATTCATTTTCCTGTATTGCATCAGTCACTCCATTCTCCTCGTTAAAATAAAACACTGAGGTCCGGGCGCGGTGGCTCACGTCTGTAATCCCAGCACTTTGGAAGGCCGAGGCGGGGCGATCACCTGAGGTCGGGAGTTCGAGACCAGCCTGACTAACATGGAGAAACTCCGTCTCTATTAAAAATACAAAATTAGCCGGGCGTGGTGACGCACGCCTGTAATCCCAGCTACTCAAAAGGCTGAGTCAGGAGAATCGTTTGAACCCGGGAGGCGGAGGTTGCAGTTTGCTGAGATCCCACCATTGCACTCCAACCTGGGCAGCAAGAGAGAACCTCCGTCTCAAAATAAAATAAAATATAACATAACATAAAACATTGCCTGGAAACCTCTGTTAACAGCAAACAGAGGCCCCATATGAAAAAGTAGAGAAAGCTTTTCTGCCACAATGGAAAATAGATGCAAAGTAAAGGTGAGTAAATTGCAGGTGTGTTGGCACTTCTAATTAAAAAAAAAAAATTCTTTTTTCTTTGTCAATCCTATCACATCTGCTTTGTATGACGAGGGAACTCCAGGAAATCCTATCTACTGATGACACCTTTTAGGGGTTTCCAATGCTGCATGTTTCAAAACTGCTGTCCTCTGTGTATATGTTTGCCGTTGAATCAAAAGTGTCTTTGAGAGGCAACAGAGTACGATGTTTGTCATCAGTCCACCAGTCTAACACTCTGTCAGGGTAGGCTGTCCTTACTTCTCGATTCTTTTGTTCAGTGAAAATATCCATAACCAGCCTACAGGAGAGATATTGTCTAGTGAAACCTGCTTAGCTGAAGACTGGTTGTGTGCCCCAGGGACAAACCATATGTTCGTTATAAGATACATTTTTTTTTTTTGTTTGAAGGAAGGTAATGCAGACATTTTCTTTTCGTTTCATACTTGTTTTCCCTTCTATCCACTGGTTCTCTCCAGGCACTTTAAGCAAATAGTGGCATGTTAGTCACAGTGGACACTGCACAGGAGAATAAGGGGTGAGGGATCAGGGTGCTACAAGAGGAATGCCAAATTCCAGGCCCAACCTCAGATCTATTGAGTCAGAATTGCTGAGGGTGGCGTCCAGCCGCCTGTGTTTGAATAAGCCCTCAAGTGACTCTGATGTTAAAGTTGTTTTGTTTTGTTTTTTGAGACGGAGTCTCGCCCTCTCGCCCAGGCTGGAATGCAGTGGTGCAACCTCGGCTCACTGCAATCTCTGCCTCCCGGGTTCAAGCGATTCTTCTGCCCCAACCTCCCAAGTAGCTGGGATTACAGGCGCGCGCCGCTATGCCCAGCTAATTTTTGTATTTTTAGTCGAGACGGGGTTTCACTATGTTGGTCAGGCTTGTCTCGAACTCTTGACCCCGTGATCCGCCCGCCTCGGCCTCCCAAAGTGCTGGGATTACTGGAGTGAGCCACCCGCCCAGCCGCTGATGCTAAAGTTTGAGAAGCACTGTTCTAGAGGTTTAAGAAGGTGGTCCAGGGCCAGGCGCCTGCTGAGGAGGAAGAGCTGTTCCCGGGGTTCCCTGCCTATTCTCAATCAAAAACTCAAACCACCTAGGAAAGCCAGTGAGGTTTGTATTTGCCTTACATCAGGGGTGGGGATGCATTTATTATCTCTTTGACACCGTCAACATTTTAGATGATTTTGGTAGTCACACACAAGAGACTGATTTTCCTGTAGAAGAACTCACCAGAGTTCTTGTCAGCCAGGAGACTCTTTTGAGCCAATTTTCTTTATTTCTTTCCTTTCTTATCATTCTACCCTCCCTTCTCTTTCTTTCTCTTTTTCCTTTCTTTCTTTTCTTTCTTTCTTTCTTTCTTTCTTTCTTTCTTTCTTTCTTTCTTTCTTTCTTTTTCTTTCTTTCTTTCTCTCTTTCTCCTTTTCTTTCCTTTTCTCTCATTTCTTTCTTTTCTTTTCTTTTCTTTTTTTTTTGAGACAGGGTCTCACTCTATCACCCAGGCTGGAGCGCAGTGGCGTGATCTTGGCTCACTGCAGCCTCTGCCTCCTGGGTTCAGGTGATTCTCCTGACTCAGCCTCCCAAGTAGCTGGGATTTCAGGTGCGCGTCACCATGCCCAGCTAATTTTTAGTAGAGGTGGGGTTTCACCATGTTGACCAGGCTGGTCTTGAATTCCTGACCTCAGGTGATCTGCCCTCCTTGGCCTCCCAAAGTGCTGGGATTACAGGCATGAGCCACTGCACCTGGCCACCAATTCTGTCATTTCTTTGTCACATAAAAAGTAAAAACATGACCCAATTCATTGCCTTTACTGCTCTCTTATTTCTATTTCTATTTGGTCAGCCTCTGTACCAGCCAAAGCAACTGACATAGCAGGAGAGGAAAGGAGGAAAAAAGAACCAGCTTTTACAAGATCTCTGGATCATGTTTCACTGTCAACTGTAAAATTATTTGTCTAGCCCTAGATTGGAAATATTATCTTCCATATATTTTCCTCAAAGTTTTATAGTTTTACATTTTATATTCATATCTGCGATCCATTTTAAGTTCACTTTTGTGAAGGCATGAGACTTATTTTTCTTCCATGGAATTACTACTTAGGCAACTTTGTCAAAAACCAGTTGAGAATATTTGTGTAGGTTTATTTTTCCATTCTCTCTATTAACCACGTGCCTATCTCCTTGCCAATACTATACAGTCTTAATTACTGTAGTAATAATACAATAATACAAGAATACAACAATGTAATGAAATAGTCTTGAAATCAGGTAGACTGTTTTTCCCTCCTAGATTTTAAATAATTATTCTAATTCCTTTGACTTTGTGGGAGAAACCTGGTGGGAGGTAGTTGGATCATGGGGGTGGCTTCCCCCATGCTGTTCTGGTGATAGTGAGTGAGTTCTCATGAGATCTGATGGTTTCATAAGTGTTTGGCAAGTTCCTCTTTTGCTCATACTTCTTTCTTCTGCTGTCATGTAAAGAAGGTCCTTGCTTCCCATTTCCCTTCCGCCATGATTGTAAGTTTCCCGAAGCCTCCTCAGCTATGTGACTCAATTAAACCTATTTCCTTTATCAATTACCCAGACACAGTGGCTCACGCCGGGAATCCCAGCACTTTGGGAGGCAGAGGCGGGCGGATCATGAGTTCAGGAGTTCCAGACCAGCCTGACCAATACGGTGAAACCCTGTCTCTACTAAAAATACAAAAATTAGCCGGGCATGGTGGCCTGCGCCTGTAGTCCCAGCCACTCGGGAGACTGAGGCAGAAGAATTGCTTGAACCCAGGAGGCGGAGGTTGAAATGAGCCGAGAGGAGGCCACTGCCCTCCAGCCTGGGCGACAGAGCAAGACTCCATCTTAAAAAAAAAAAAAAATTACCCAGTCTCAGGTAGTGTCTTCATAGCAGTGTGAAAACGGACTAATACACATTCTGTCTTTTACCGTGATGTACAGTGTTAGCTGTTCTCTATTCCTATTTTTCTGAGACTTTTTGTCATGAGTAGCTATTGAAGTTTGACAAATTCTTTTTCTACTGTGATATGATCACGTGATTTTATTTTTTAGCCTGTTAATATGGTGGATTGCAGTGATTGTTTCTAAATTTACCTAGTCTTACGTCTCTGGAATAAACCCCACTTGATCATGGTGTATAATGCTTCTTATATATTCCTGAATTCTATTTGATAATATTTTGGTAAGTATTTATGCACCAATACTCATTATTTTGTACTGTATTTACCTGGTTTTAGCATCAGGATACTATTAACTTCATAAATAAATGGAAAGTTTTTTGTCCTCTTCTGTTTTTTTCAGAATAGATTGTGTAGACCTTGTTTTAATTCTTTAACCATTTTTTTTTTTTTTTGAGACGGAGTCGCGCTCTGTCGCCCAGGTTGGAGTGTCACTGCAAGCTCCGCCTCCCGGGTTCACGCCATTCTCCAGCGAGTAGTTGGGACTACAGGCTCCCTGCCACCACGCCCAGCTAATTTTTTGTTTTTTCAGTAGAGACGGGGTTTCACCGTGTTAGCCAGGATGGTCTCGGTCTTCTGACCTCATGATTCGCCCACCTCGGCCTCCCAAAGTGCTGGGATTACAGGCATGAGCCACCGCCCCTGGCCTCCTTAAGAACTTCTTAGAATTCTTCAGTGAAATTTTCTTGGATTCGAAGATTCCTGATTTTTTTTTTTTAAACGAAGTCTTGCTCTTGGCCTCCAGGCTGGAGTGCAATGGTGCGATCTTGGCTCACTGCAACCTCTGCCTCCCAGGTTCAAACGATTCTCCTGCCTCAGCCTCCCAAGTAGCTGGGATTACAGGTGCCTGCCACCACATCCGGCTAATTTTTGTATCTTTAGTAGAGACGGGGTTTCAGCATGTTAGCCAGGCTGGTCTCGAACTTCTGACCTCAGGTGATCAGCCCGCCTTGGCCTCCCAAAGTGCTGGGATTACAGCCATGAGCCACCACGCCCGGCCAGATTCTTGATTTTTTTTTTAAATTATGTTACAAATTTAATTCCCTTAATAGTTACAGGGTTATAAAAAATGTATTACATATTGAGTTAGTTGTGTTAATTTGTGTTTTTCAAGGAATTAGTCTATCTCATCTAAATTGTCAAGTTTGTGTGTAAAGAGTTATTCATAGTAAGGCAGAAATTTAAAAATAAATATGCATTCATTCACTCCAAGAAAAGTAACAGGAAAGGGTTAAAAAGAAAAGAAACAAGTTTTCGTTTGCCTAGCAGCTCACTTCAAGGACAGTTACAAGATAACACTTTCCGAAAAGCCAAGGCCAAAGGAACGGCTTCCAGACACGCCCTTCTCCCACCCCACCCAAGAACAAGGTTGAAGGGAAAAAAAGGAAAGGCAAATTCCTATACTGTTACTCCTTTCCCTGGCTTCTTAAGCATAACTGTTTTTACAAATGTCTGTATTTAGTCAGTTCTTGTTTTTCTTTTGACGCAGCTGCAAGGCCACAAATTAAGCACTGTATGATTAACTGCCTTTGTTTTGCTTATAAAAACTCCTGCTCTGTCTTTGTTCAACGCTCAGCATTTTTTGTTTGTTTGTTTTGTTTTGAGACAGAGTCTTGCTCTGTCGGCCAGGCTGGAGTGCAGTGGCACGATATTGGCTCAATGTCACCTCCGCCTCCTGGGCTCAAGCAATTCTGCCTCAGCCTCCCGAGTAGCTGGGATTACAAGCATGTGCAACCACGCCTGGCTAATTTTTGTATTTTTAGTAGAGACGGGGTTTCACCACGTTGGCCAGGCTGGTCTCGAACTCCTGACCTCAGGTAATCTGCCAGCCTTGGCCTCTCAAAGTGCTGGGATTATGGGCGTGAGCCACCAGGCCCGGCCAGTGCTCAACTTTTTGGATGTGAATCCACTCAGTGGCTGCTTACCTTAAAATAAATATCCTCCTGTTCTCCTGTATCAGTCTTTCCGTTCCTCAGTTTACCACCACAATAGTATTCCCTTATCCTAATATTATTTTTATATATTAGGATATATCATACTACATATGTTATATAAAATATTATATTGATAATATGTTATGTTAATATTATATAATAAATAACATAATTATAAAATATATTTATTTATATGATTATTTAACAAGTTATATATTATTATTTACTTATATTATTAGGATATAATATATCCTTATATATTATTAGTATATACTATGTATATTATATATATATATATTCTGAATAATCTTGAGGATGCTTTTCCTCCTTCATTTTTTAACTCTAGCCTGCCTCTTCCCTTTCCCCACCTGCTGGTTCTCGGCTCCTCTCCACCTTCTTTCTCATTTATTTCTAAATGAAGTTTTCACAAAAGCGCAGGGCACTCCTAGTCTCGTTTATGCACATTTTAAGCACTATGTTGAGATTCCTATGCAGCTGCTATTTTAATTTCCACATCACTTTCCTTTTTTTTTTTCCTTCTCTACATGCTTGACTTTAAACATTTCTGCAGCATAGGCTGAGGCTGGGCCCAGCTGGGGAGAGATGCGAGGCCAGATAAACCTAGAGTAGAGAAATGTTGTTTCCTGAGTGGGAACGCTCCGACCTTACAAGGGGGAGAAAAAGTCTGCGACGGAGTTTCGCTCTTGTTGCCCAGGCTGGAGTGAAATGGTGCTATCTCGGCCCATTGCACCCTCCACCTCCCGGTTCAAGCGATTCTCCTACCTGTCTCCCGAGTAGCTGGGATTACAGGCACCCGCCACCATGCATGGCTAGTTATTTTTTAAATGCTGGGATTACAGGTGTGAGCCACCGAGCCCGGCTAAATTTTTTAAAGGAAATCATCCAAAAACATATCCTTTTGATGTCAGCAGAGTCTACAGTGATATCCTCTTTTTATTCCTGATATTGGTAATTTGTGTCATCTCTCTTCCTAAAATTTCTGTCTTACTAGAGGTCTTCTTTTATTGATCTAAAGGAACTAGCTTTTTGTTTGTTTTTCTTTTTTTGTTTGTGTTCCGTTTCACTGAATTTTGTTCTTATTTTTATTGTTATCTTTTGTCTATTTGCTTTGGGTTTATTTTGCTTTTTTCCCCACCTGGGTTCTTCAAATAAAAGTTTAGATGACTGACTTGAGACTTTTTTCTTTTTCTAATGTATGCAGTTAGTGGTATACATTTCTCTCTCAGTGTTTTTTTAGGTTGTCTTGAAAATTTTGGTATATTGTGCTTTCATTTTTATTCAGGTTAATTTATTTTTTGATATCTACTAAGTCTTTCTCTTTGTCCTGTGTACTATTTAGTAGTGTGTTGTTCATTTTCCAAGTGTTTGGATGTTCTTCTGTTGTCTTTCTGTGATTGACTTTTAGTTTGATTTCATTGTGGTCAGGGATCATACTGTGTGAGTTAATTCTTTTAAATTTGAGGTTTGTTTTATGGCCCAGAATATGTTCCATCTTGACCTGTGTTCTGTGTGTTCTGCTTTTCTTGTGTGGAGTCTTCTTTAAATGTTGACTGAATTCTGTTAGCTGAAGATGATTTTGAGTTCTTCAACATCCTTGCTGATTTTCTGTTTAGTTGTTCTATCGATTATTATGAGAGAAGTGTTGAAGTCTCTAATGTAATTGTGGATTTGTCTATTTTTTAAAAATTCTTTTTTTCTTTACATATTTTCAACTCTGTTTGGTTTATACATATTTAGGATTGTTATGCCTTCTTGGTGGATTTTTAAAATTTTTCTTTGTTCTAAAGCTTATATTAGGCCAGACGTGGTAGCTCACGCCTGTAATCCCAGCACCGTGGGATGCTGAGGTGGGTAGATCACCTGAGGTCAGGAGTTTGAGACCAGCCTGACCAACATAGTGAAACCCCATCTCTACTAAAAATACAAAAATTAGCCAGTCATGGTGGTACGTGCCTGTAATTCCAGCTGCTTGGGAGGCTGAGGCAAGAGAATCACTGGAACCCTGGAGGCAGAGGTTGCAGTGAGCAGAGATCGCGCCATTGCACTCCAGTCTGAGTGACAAGAGTGAAACTCCATCTCAAAGAAAAAAGATAAATAAATAAAGTTCATATTATATTAATATACTCACTTTTGCTTTCTTTTAATTAACATTTGAATGTTATATATTTTTATATGCTTAATTTCAACCTGTATGTATAATTATATTTGAAATAAGTTTCTTGTAGACAGCATGTAGTTGGATTATATTTTCTAATCTACTCTGTTAATCTCTGTCTTTTAATTGGTACCTTTCGACCATTTACATTTAATGTAATTATTGATATGTTAGGGCTGAAATCTAGCAGTTTGTTTTCTATTTGTACCCTGTTACTGCCATTTTCTGGGGATATGTATGTATGTATGTATTTATTTATTAAAGCCTTCTTTGTGGACTACTAGTATACTTTTTTAGAATTTCATTGTCATTTATCTGTAGCGTTTTTGTGTGTGTGTGGTTTTGTTTTTTTGATTTTTTTTTTCTCCTGCCTCAGCCTCCCAAGTAGCTGGGATTACAGGCATGCGCCACCATGCCCAGCTAATTTTTGTAGTTTTAGTAGAGACAGGGTTTCACCATGTTGGCCAGGCTGGTCTCGAATTCCTGACCACAGGTGATCCCCCTCAGCCTCCCAAAGTGCTGGCATTACAGGTGTGAGCCACTGTGCCCAGCCTATCTGTAGTGTTTTTAAATGATCTCTTTATATAACTCTTTTAGTGATTTGTCTGAGTATTACATATTTATTTAATTTATCACTGTGTACTGGTATCATTATTTTATCAGTTAAAGTGATGTGTGTCATCTTTACCTTTTTGTCACTTTGCCTCTCCTACTTGTAATATAATTGTCTTAAATTATTTCTTCTACATACATTTCGAACCACATCGAACCATGTTATACTTTTTTCTTTCTTTCTTTTTTTTTTTTTTTTTTTTGAGACATTGTCTCACTCTGTTGCCCAGGCCTGAGTGTAGTGGCGTGATCTTGGCTCGCTGCAACCTCCGTTTCCCTGGTTCAAGTGATTCTCCCTCCTCAGCCTCTCGAGTAGCTGGGACTACAGGTGTGTGCCACCATGCCCAGCTAATTTTTTGTATTTTTAGTAGAGACGGGGTTTCACCATGTTAGTCAGGCTGGTCTTGATCTCCTCATCTCATGATCTGCCCACCTTGGCCTCCCAAAGTGGTAGGATTACATGCCTGAGCCACCGTGCCCGGTCATGTTACACTTTTTGCTTCAACTGTTAAACATAATTTAGAAAGCTCAAGAGGAAAAGGAAAATGTATTGTTTTTACCTTTTTTTTTTTTGCTTACCATGTTCTTTCTTCTTTCCTGGTGTCAATTATTTCTTCTTTTATCATTTCTTTCCATCTGGAGAAATTTAACTATTTTTTAAAGGATAATTCTGCTAGAAGCTAATTATCTTAGTTTTCTTTGCTCTGAAAATGTCTTGATTTCTTCTTCAGTTCTAAAGGATATTTTCTGTGGATATAGAATTCAGAATTAACAATTCTTTTCTTTCGGTCCTTGAAAACTGTTGTGCCACTCTTTCTGACTTCTGTGATTTCTGATAAGATACCCACTGTTATGCAAATTGGTTTTCTCTGTAGGTAAGGTGTTTTGTCTCTTTTCTTGCTTTCAATATCTCTTTCTCTGTTTTTAGAGTTTAGAAATTTTGATTGATTTTGTTTTCAGTTAACCGTTGAAGGAGATTCTCTAAAAAATATGTAAAAATGCAAATCTCCAGGTCAACAGTCTCTAAAATAGTTTAGATTTCTGTATTCTGGTGTTTGGAAAACAACTTCACTAAGGCAATCCCTTAGGGCTGGTAATTTCATGATGTAAATCATTCCACATTTGTAAAGCATAAAGTAGCAAAGTTTTAGTCACTGTACAAACAAGTATCTGAACTTCTTCCTGTGCTTAATTGGTATAAACTATCTTGGGCGGCAGTTCCCCACCTTTTTGGCACCAGAGACCGTTTCATGAAAGACAGTTTTTTCCATGGATGAGGGAGCAGGGGTTGGGGGGGATGATTTTGGGATGATTCAAGCACATTAGATTTATTGTGCACTTTTTTAATATTGTTATTATATTGTAATATATAATGAAATAAGTATCCAACTCACCATAATGTAGAATCACTGGAAGCCTTGAGTTTGTTTTCCTGCAACTAGACAGTCCCATCTGGCACTGATGGAAAACAGTGACGGATTATCAAGCATTAGATTCTCATAAGGAGCCCACAATCTAGATCCCTTTCATACGCAGTTCACAATAGGGTTTGGACTTCTGTGAGAATCTGACGCCCCCGCTTATCTGGGAGGAAGAGTAGCTCAGGCGGTCGCAGGAGCGTTGGGGAGTTGCTGTATAAGGACAGATGAAACTTCTCTGGCTCGCCTGCCGCGCTGCCTGATACGCGGTTACGTTTACTGGAGGTTGGGGACTCCGGAGCTAGAGTAAAACACACAAATATTTCGCCTGAACAGGGACTTGAACCCTGCACCGTCAGATTAAAAGTCTGATGTTCTACCAACTGAGCTATCCAGGCCCTGGGTAGACGCAACCCACGGAGTATGTAATCTAGATTTCTCCATTTGTTCAGTTCATTTTGTTTCATGTTGCAATTTGTAAATCATATTACTTGAATTATCCTCTTTTCGAAGACCCTGCTTAAGAGAGACATTATAATCCCTAGGAATATTTTCCTTTTCTCTTTTTAAACATTTCCTTTCTGTAGATTTTCGTAACCTGAGATGGAGCGTCTTCTACACAAAGCACTGCGGAGTTGCTAGATACAGAGGGTTTCATTCTCGCCAATTACCTGCAACCTAAACTTCTCGAGGCAACTGTGGAGCTACTTTTGTTCGTATCCCTCAGTATTGTCTTGCATCTCTTTCTTGAAGCCTTTGTAGGCAGAGGGTAAGAGAGACGAAGGAGGAAGAATTTGAAGATGCAAGAGAACATTCCATAATGGACCCCTTTCTGTTGGTGGATGAAACTGCCAGCCAGGCATCACTTTGGCAAGTGGACCTCAGACCGGCGGTCTGGCTGGCCAGAGAGGAAAACCGCGTGTAACAGTGTCTTTTGGTTTAGTATTTAGTGCCGCTTTTGCTGGTCACAGTCTAAAGGTTTTAGAAATAGTGATGTTAAACACAGCAAGCATTTTTCTGCCAGATATTCGTTCTCCAAACACAGACAGACAAAGGCAGTAATTAATAATGGATCTTTTCTTTGTTTTTTTCTTGTTTTATTTTTGAAGATATTTTTTCTTCGTCTATGGATCTTTTTTTTAATTTTTAATTTTTACTGCTGCATAGTATATATATGTATATATATGATACATGGGATATTTTGATGCAGGCATACAATGTGTAATAATCATATTGGGATAAACGAAGCATCCATCACCTCATCCATCGCCTCAACACCTTATCATTTCTTTGTTACAGACATTCCAGTTATAATCTTTAAGTTATTTTTAAATGTACAATACATTTTTGTTGACTATAATCACCCTGTTGTGCTATCAAATGATAGATCTTATTCATGCTAACTATATTTTTGTATCCATTAACCATCTCACTGCCCCCTCCAATACCCTTCCCAGCATCTGGTAACCATCATTCTACTCTCTGTCTCCATGAGTTCAATTGTTTTATTTTTGGCTTCCACAAATGAGAGAGAATATGTGAAGTTTTACTTTCTGTGTATAGCTTAACTTAATGTCCTCTAGTTTGTGGAGGAAAAGTTACGTATTAAATTTGAACTCAATTGAACGTGGACACAAACAATGGTCACCAAATCCTGAACAGGTTGTATGAACCCCTTGAGGTGTTCATCCAGTGCTGTTTTGGAGAAATCTCTATTTCAATCTATTCCTATACGTTAGTTATTGAAAAACAACAGACAATCGCAAAAACAAGTTGACCTTTTCTTGTTCCTTGAGCTCAGTCGCGAAGGGCTCTCGTGAGCTTCATGAGACCTCTCCTTCTCTGTGCATGGACGAGTGGCCGACTCTGGAGCCGGGGCTGTTGCTTCCCGGTGTGGTGATGAATCCTTCATAGTCTTGTGAGTGTACATATATATAAATATATATATTTATATATATATATATATATTTGGTGAGTGTGTGTATATATATATATATATATATCTTTTCCCTTCTCCCCTTCCCATTGCAATTTGCTTATTGTATCATTTGTTTATTATATCTGCATTGCCGTTTACGTGGGATAAAGGTTATTTACCCTTAAAGGTATTGTGTGTGTGTCTTTTCTTCTCCCCTCTCGCATTTCCCGCACAGAACATAGTTCCATCCGCTTTGCAAATGACAAGACCTCATTCTTTTCATGGCCGAATAGTACCCCGTTGTGTATACGTACCACATTTACTTTATTCATTTATCTGTTGATGGGTACTTAGGATGCTTCCCAATCTTGGCTATTGTGAATAGTGCTGCAATAAAGATGACAGTGTAGATATCTTTTCGATATACTAATTTCCTTTCTTTTGGGTATAGGCCTAATAGGGGGATTGCTGGAATATATGGTAATATTTTTAGTTTTCTGAGGAACCTCCATACTATTCTCCAAAGCGGTTGTACTAATTTAAATTCCCACCAAGAGTGTACTAGGGTTCTCCTTTCTCCACGTCCTTGCCTGTCTTTTGGATGAAAGTCATTTTAACTTGGGTGAGATAACATTTCATTTTAGTTTTGATTTGCATTTATTTGATGATCAATGGTGTTGAGCACCTTTTCATATATTTGCCATTTGTATGTCTTCTTTTAAAAGACATATAGACAAAAGAATGGTAAATAGATATGTGAGTAGAAAATCTTTACTTGGCTGAGTTTTCTTTATCCTTTCCTTTCACAGTAGCCCCCATCCCCAACACACACACACATACACACACACACACACACACACACACACACACACACACACACGTCAGGTCAATAACCAGACCATAAGTGCTGCAAATCTTAGTTCTTTCTGTGTGTGTGAGTGAACGTTTGTTGTACACTGGATCACACCTCACAGGAAATGCTGAGTTTTCCAAATTCTAAAGTTAAGAACATTATTAGGGTCATGCATTATGGGTTTTTGTAAAATGGCTAAAGTAGCTACATTGGGAGATTCTTTGTCTAAAGGTGCAATACATCCCCCAATTTGATTCAGGGCTTGGAAAGTTGTCTGGTTTCATCTAAACAAATAAATAAATTCTATTTTTTTCAAATCTCAATTATAGAAACCTTTATCTACAGACACCCTCCTCCATTCATTTCTTCAGTGAAATTATCTAGACAGATTGTTATAGAGAGATTAAGAATGTCATACTTTCAAATCTCTCTTGGATTCCTCCCAAAATACTTTTGTTAGAAATATTTAAACATTTTAAAGGAATCTTGCCTGGAACCCATCAGATAAAAATCAAAAGGCATCAGAGAAAACACTGAAAGGCTTTGGAAAGGAAATGGTATCACTGGTATAAACAAACATTTCATACAATTTAATAGTTTCTTAGCATTATTCTTTCAAATCTCAGTGCCAATCCTTTTTAGCATCTTCCTGAAGAAAGAAATTTCAGGCTACTTTGGACACACTTTCTATAGGGTACCCCTGCTCTGCAAACAGCAGGAATAAATAAATAAATAAATAAATATAACAATAAATAAATAGATTTCGATGGTTTGGCTCAGTCTACCAACCTTACTAACTGTGCCAACTTTACTATCTGCTGCCTACGTCTGCCAGTTAACTTTTCCTCCTCCAGACTGAACAAAAAATGCCCTTTTATTTAAATTTGTTAGATTTTGAGATTTTGGATTGCTATTCTTTGGGCACAAAATCCACTAGTGAGAAGGTGAGGAAGCAAAACTGAGAACAATTTCAAAACATGTGAATAAGTTTGAGTCTGTTGAAACATAAGTCATGGTAGTGCATCTTGCCCAAAATGGAGATGGATTCTTCAGCACTGACTAGAGCAAGTAGCCTCCCCAAACTGGATCACACCAGAAACCCTTATTCAATCTAATGCTCCTCATAGGACGCTTTCTGAGAAAGAAAGGGACTTAACTAAATCAGTTTCATAGGGAACAGCAGAAGACCTTTCTTTTGTCTACCCAGACTCATCTAGTCCGGCCCCAGAACTAGCGTTCCGTGGTCTCAAACATGGGTCATTACTTAATAAATTAGTGTACATAGGATACACCATCCAAAATATGGCCTAAAACAATTCTTGAGTTTTGACTGGAGAAACCTGGAGAAAATGGTGTACAAGGGATCCAGGAAAAGTTTAGGGCTGAGAGATGCATCTCTCTGGGGAAAGGAGATAGGACTGGGCACTGGAAAAATGAAATAGTTTCTTCCCAGTAACTCGTCATTTCCATGAAGCCAAGACGATGCGAAAACTGAGGGAATCTGTGATTGGTTTACTTTACAAACTTGGTTGTTGTTTTTTTTTTTAATCTTTCCTACCCTATCAACATAGGGGACATAGCTGGGGAAAGGGTAACAAAAAATCGCCCCAGACTGTTTTCTGGATCAATCCAAAGGTGAGCTTAGAGCAATCAACCTTTAGGCAAAATACTTGGGGCTTTTCTGACAAGGGGGAGCTTTTTTTTTTTTTTTAATTTCAACTTTTATTTTAGATTCAGGGAGTACAGTGCAGGTTTGGGACAAGGGTGTATTGCGTGTTGCTGATGTCTGGAGTACGATTGAACCCGTCACCCATGTGGTGAGCATAATACCCAACAGGCAGTTTTTCTATCCTTTTCCCCCTTCCAACCTCCCACCTCTTACGGTCTCCAGTGTCTTCTGTTCCAGGGGAGCTCTTGTTTGAGCTTACAGGCTTTTCTTCCTGGAGGAAGCACCATCGTATCTTTGAGACGGAAAAGGTTAAAATAGATCAAACAATGATGCTCCCTCTTACGCTGTCATGTCCACTCCTTCATTGCAGACTTGAGTTCTTGGCTCATATTTCTGTACCCGAACGTGCATTATCATTATTAGTAACTTAGAGAAGAGAGCCTTCAAAGAAGGCAAAGATGTCACTTCTGATCATCTCGCAGTTTATAATTCTAAGGAATTGCTATTAGGAATTTTAGATGGAGTTTTATTCCTTCTGCCCACCTCCTCCCCCGCCTCTCCCCGCCCCCCTTCAAGTTGTTAAATCTCTAATTACGAAGTTAAAGGTTTGAAAACAGAAACTCAACGTTTCCTCACTACACTTCAGTCTTGATGTGTGCAAATTAGCACCCGCGTGCGGCCGCGTGGCCTAATGGATAAGGCGTCTGATTCCGGATCAGAAGATTGAGGGTTCGAGTCCCTTCGTGGTCGTGTTCTTACTATTGTCAGGAAATATCTTTACTTTCTGCACATCTCCTTGAGCTTTCTGCAAGCCAGTTAAAAAAAAAAAAACCGGCTTGTTCCCAAGACTTTGGGAACTTGAAATGAAAGAAGACTATTGACAAAAAAAACAAGAACCCGGTAAGCAACCTGTGTATTGACTATTAAAGTGCACTTTGTCCCTGGCATAGGTACTACCGGAGGCATTCGTAATTTGGAATGGGCTTGGTTTTTCAATTTATGGTCTTGTCCTACTTGTTTCATGAATTTAACAAACACAACACAAAATCACCCTTTTCTTTTTTTTTTTTTTTTTTTTTTTTTTTTTTTTTTTTTGAGACGGAGTCTCGCTCTGTCACCCAGGCAGGAGTGCAGTGGCACGATCTCGGCTCACTGAAAACTCCGCCTCTCCGGGTAAAGCGATTCTCCTGCCTCAGCCTCCCGAGTAGCTGGGATTACAGGCGCCCGCCATCACGCCCGGCTAATTTTTGTGTTTTTTTAGTAGAGACGAGGTTTCATCATGTTGGCCAGGTTGGTCTCAAACTCCTGACCTCAGGTGATCCGCCCGCCTCGGCCTCCCAAAGTGCTGGGATTACAGGCGTGAACCACCGTGCCCGGCATTTTATTTATTTATTTATTTATTTTTGAGTCTCACTTTGTCGCCCTGGCTGGAGTGCAGTGGCACAATCTCTGCTCATTGCAATCTCCACCTCCAGGGTTCAAGCTATTCTCCTGCCTCAGCCTCCCGAGTAGCTAGGATTACAGGTGCCCGCCACCATGCCTGGCTGATTTTTGTATTGTTGGTAGAGAAGGGGTTTCACCATATTGGCCAGGCTGGTCTCGAACTCCTGACCTCAGGTGATCTGCCCGCCTTGACGTCCCAAAGTGCTGGGATTACAGGCGTGAGTCATCGCGCGCGGCAGAAAAGTACCATCTTAATAGTAAGGACTATCATAATAGTAGGGGTATTGGGTGCAGGGTATATGGGAACTCTAATATCTTCTAAATTTTTCTGTAAAGCTAAGACTGTTCGACAATTATACTCTATAAAATAAAAATGATTTGTTTTTTTAAAGATAGACAGCCATGTGTTTAAAAAAACTTAGAGCAAAGATCTTGCCCTAGAAAGCAAATGCAACTCTAACGGGGTTCTTGTACTGGTTAACATCCGCATTAAAGATGATGGTGACTTACAGGGCCTATGCCATTCTCTCTGATTTCTACGATTTCCTTATTACTCTCAACACAAGCTTAAATAAAACAGTAAACAGAAAAGTAAAATCTTTCCAGACCTTGGTTAACAAAAGCAGAAACAAGGAGGAGAACGAGGAGGAGAAGGTGAAGGAGAAAGAAAAGAACAAAAAGAGGAAGAAGAGGAAGAAGTCACAATCAAGGAGAGTATATCACCAAGAAAAGAAAGTTTCTATCAAAAACTTTCTTTGGGCTCTCAAAACTCGAGAGTCAAACATTGTTAATAAATTTCCACAAAAATCTGAAGGTCACAAATCCAAATCCTAATAGGAAAAGCTTTCATCAAAATGTACTGATAAAGGCTCAATTACAACAACCTGGAACTCATGTGGTTGGGACACTCGCTCGAGCTCATAGTTTTGAAGGATGGCCAGAATTTAGAAACAAAGTGGTCAAAGAATGCACTATTATCACACTAAGAGTTTGGCAACCCTATCAGCAAAATGAGCCAGGGCCCTCTAAGAAACTCACAGGACCCACATATTGCTGAGGAAAAGAGGTATTTACTCACAACTGAAAAAACAAAACTGAATGTATGTCTTGCTTGAGCAGGGGTGAACTACAAGCAGATTGCAGTCTCTTAGTAAACAAACAAAACAAGAAACAAAACAAAAGGCAGGATATGCAGAGGAGTTTAATTAATTGTCAAGTGAAATTAAATTCACATAAATCAGCCTTTTGGGTGGTTCAAAGTAGAGACGGCTGTGAATTGTTCCTAGATTGACATACAAACAAATACTTATTTATTTATTTATTTATTTAATTTTTTGAGACGGAGTGTCGCTCTATCGCTCAGGCTGGAGTGCGGTGGTGTGAACTGCGATCTCGGCTCACTGCAAACTCCGCCTCCCGGATTCAAGCGATTCTCCTGCCTCAGCCTCCTGAGTAGCTGGGACTACAGGCGCATGCCACCAAGCCCGGCTAATTTTTTTGTAATTTTAGTAGAGACGGGGTTTCACCATGTTAGCTAGGATGTTCTTGATCTCCTGCGTGATCCGCCCGCCTCGGCTTCCCAAAGTGCTGGGATTACAGGCGTGAGCCACCGCGCCTGGCCTTACAAATCTCTTTTACTTAGGAACTACTGAGTTAAGATAAATGTGGGTGCTAAATTCCAATTTGGCCCGGGCATGGTGGCTCATGCCTGTAATCCCAGCATTTTGGGAGGCCGAGATGGGCGGATCATCTCAGGTCAGGAGGTCAAGACCAGCCTGGCCAACATGGCGAAATCCATCTCTACTAAAAACACAAGAATTAGCTGGGTTTGGTGGCGTGCGCCTGTAATCCCAGCTGCTAGGGAGGCTGAGACACGAGAATCACTTGAACCCGGGAGGTGGAGGTTGCAGTGAACTGAGATCACGCCACTGGCACCCCAGCCTGGGTGGCAGAGTGAGACACCATCTCAAAAAATAATAATAATAAAAATGAAATAAATAAATTCTGATTTGTTGTGTGAATTCATGGTTAATTATGCAAAAGTGGAATATTCTATTCTTAATTGACTCAAATTAAAATTTCATTTAAATGTCAAGTTTTAAGATACCAAGATTGAGTGCTGATAGTATTGTTATTACTTGAGCACAAACTCCTGGACTCAGTTCTCTTGTCTTGGTCTCCGAAAATGCTAGGATTACAGGCGTGAGCCACTCTGGCTGTCCCCTCAGTAATTTTTTTTAAGTAAAGTTTATTTTATTTATTTTTTGAGTTGAGGTCTCGCCCTGTCACCCAGGCTGGAGTGCAGTGGCACTGCAAGCATGGCTCACTGCTACCTCAAACTCCTAGGCCCAGGCAATCCTCCTGCCTTGGCCTCTGGTGTAGCTGGGACCACAGGTGTGCACCACCATACCTGGCTAATTTTTCTATTTTTTTGTAGAGACAGGCTCTCACTATGTTAGCCAGGCTGGTCTCCAACTCCTGAACTCAATTGATCCTCCTGCTTTGGTCTCCCAAAGTGCTGGGATTTGAGGTGTAAGCCACTGCTCCTGACCAATAATTTTTTATATTAATAAATTTATGGCCGGGTGCTGTGGCTCACGCCTGTAATCCCAGCACTTTGGGAGACCGAGGCGGGCGGATCACCTGGGGTCAGGAGTTCGAGACCAGCCCGAATAATATGGTGAAACCCTGTCTCTACTAAAAATACAAAAATTAAACGGGTGTGGTGGCGGGCGCCTGTACTCCCAGCTACTCGGGAGGCTGAGGCAGGACAATCGCTTGATCCCGGTAGGCGGAAGTTGCAGAGAGCCGCGATCGCGCCACTGCAGTCCAGCCTGGGCGACAGAGCGAGAGTCCGTCTCAAAAAATAAATAAATATAATAATAATAATAAAATTTATGTCTACCAAAATAATTTATCTACATTATGAGCAAAATATGTCCATGTTTTGACTTGACACTTTTTGCACTCTCAACACTGCAATCCTCCTCATATCTTAAGTCAGCGTTTTGTTCATCCACTTGACAGTAGGGCAGAAAAGAGCCTTGAATGAATACCTCTCTGCAAATCCGACTTTCCCCGTTCAAATCTTGTCTCTTCCGCTGAGACTAGAGAGAATATAAGCAGCAAAACGCACCGCAAATACCCTCCCGGTTGCTCCAGGAGAAAGCTGGGTTCAGTAGCCTGTTGAGTATGAATCAAAAAGAAGTATGGGAAAATGAAAAGTATCTACATCAGAACAGGATCGTGATTCCTAAATTTCCGGACTAGTGGCCTGATGCATTTCCAGCTGAGCTAGCCAGAAGTACGATGGTTTTAGTGGGTATCTACTCTAACCCAAAACGTTCAGTCACTACTTAACCTTTCTTCCTCATTCTTTCTCTTGTATTTTAAACCCAAACACGCGAAAATAAACAAACAAACAAAAAGAAACACAAACTAAACAGTTGCTGCCTGCATCAAAGCTGCAGGCTGCTTCCACATGAGAACTGACACAACGTCACTTTCCTCAAACCTCCAATACCAGGGGCTACTGCTCCACGAATACTCAACCACACGCCCTCGAAAATGCTCAGCCTGTTTCCTGCGATGGAGAGTGCAGTGCAGTGAGGCACTCTCAGAGTCACAAAATCTTGGGCAACACGAGCCGTACCCTTCTGTGGGATATACACTTTGAAACCACTCACCTAGAGCCTTCTCTCTTCCCCAGGGCCTAGAGAAAGCTTGGCAGAGACGCGGCGCTTGGCTGCTTTCTTCCTCCACGCTTGTCTCAATACTATCCGTCTTTAAAGACGCGTCCCCGATTTTTCTTCTGCCTTCTTCTCCGCTGCTTCTTCTCTCCTCCACTCAGTGTTATCCCTCCCGGCTCCAAGAGCCCTTCCTTCCTTTTCAAAGCCTTCCCTTGCGTCCACTCCTCAGCTCATTTCAGTTCCCAGCCACTTGCCTTTCTAGTATAGTAAGAACATAACCTGTACATTAGGGACAAACTTCTCCCTACTCTCCCTTACGCCCCTGCTGGGTTTACAATGTTCTCCAAAATTCGTATCTGGATTAAACAGTCGCACCACATTTTGGCTACAGATGGGAAGGGTCTACTTTCTGCACTTCAGGGACTGATGAAATTTTCTCACTTGTGGGGGTGTAGGGAGGGTTTTACAAAGGGTGAATTGGTTTTCTCAGGTTGAGACCAGCTTCCTTTGTGCTTTCCTCCTTGCTCAAAAAAATTTGCTCTGAAAGAGTCCTCTGTCTTCGGCTTCGTTTGTGTTGTCTTTAAAACCAGAGCTAGTCAGGCTTGGCGGCAAACACCAGTAATCCGAGCACTTTTGGAGGCGGAGGCGGGAGTATTGCTTAAGCCCAGGAATTCAAGACCAGCCTGGGCAACACAGGGAGAAGACCGACCCGCCCCCTTCCCCCATCCCGTCTCTATAAAAAATCAAAAACAAAAAAACCTATAGCTGTAGAGTCGCCGATGAAGCCGCTGCCACATTTCCAAATCCAGATGTTGGACGCAACCTTGTGCAAAACTGCTACCTTTGTCACTCTTTGTTTTTGTCAATGTTGTGAATTAACCTCTTGTCTTTGCTTGTTTGGTTGTTTTTCAGGAGTTATTAACAACTTTATTGAAGTACAGTTGATATATGCAAAACCCCTACACGTTGAAGGTAAGCATATGAGTGAGGACATATGCATACATTTATAATGCTATTTCCACAATCGGTAATAAACACACTTATCAACTCCAAAAGTTTCTTTGTGTTCTTTCATGTTCATGGGTGGTAAGAAGACTTAAACATCAGAGTTATCTTTTTTTTTTTTTTTTTTATTTTGAGACTGAGTCTCGCCTGTCGCCCAGGCTAGAGTGCAGTGGTGCGATCTCGGCTCACTGCAACCTCCGACTTCCGGGTTCACGCCATTCTCCTGCCTCAGCCTCTCGAGTAGCTGGGACTACAGGCGCCCGCCACCGCGCCCGGCTAATTTTTTAAAACATTTTTAGTAGAGACGGGGTTTCACCGCGTTAGCCAGGATGGTCTCGATCTCCTGACCTCGTGATCCGCCCGCCTCGGCCTCCCAAAGTGCTGAGATTACAGGCGTGAGCCACCGCTCCCGGCCGAGTTATCTTTTTAACAAAATTTTAAGTGTACATTATGGTATTGTTAACTGAAGGCACTAGGTTGTGCAATAGATCTCTAGAACTTATTCATGTTTCATAACTAAAATTTTAACTCACCGAGCAACAACTCCCCATTTCCCTCTGCCTCTGGTCCCTGACAATCACCATTCTGTTCTCTGCATTTATGAGTTTGACTATTTTAGATACCTCATATAAGTGGAATTATGAAATATTTGTCCTTCTGTGACTGGCTTATTTCACTTAGCATAATGTCCTCCAGGTTAATCATTGATGCTGGTGCAAATGGCAGAATTTCTTTTTTATAAAAGGCTGAATAATATTCCATTGTATGTATATACCACATTTTCTTTGTCCACTCATCTCTCAATGGACACTTGGATTGTTCCCTTATCTTGGTTATTGTAAATAATGCTGCAGTGAACATGGGAGTGCATATGTTTCTTTGAAATTCTAATTTCGATTTTTTGGGGACATATACCCAGAAGTGGGATTGCTGGATCATATGGTAGTTCTATTTTTATCTTTTGAGGCGACCCCTTACTATTTTCCATAGTGGTGTCATCATTTTACACACCAACAGTGTAGAAGGGTTCCAATTTCTCTACATCTTTGCTAACACTTACCTTTTGAGTTTTTTCTTTTTAATAACAGACATCCTAATAGGTGTGAGGTGGTATCTATTGTGATTTTGATTTGCATTTCCTTGATGATTAGTGATGTTAAGAGCACCTCTTCACATACCTAGTGGCTATTTGTATGTCTTCTTTGGAGACATGTCTATTCAAGTCCTATGCTCGTTTTAAAAATCAGGTTATTTGGGATTCTAAGGGGTGTGTGTGTGTGTGTGTGTGTGTGTGGCTATTGACTTGTAGCGGTTTAAAAAATTTATTTTGTATATTAACCCCTTATCAGATAAATGATTTGCAAATATTTTCTCCCATTCCATAGCTTGCCTTTTTCCTTTGTTGATTGTTTTCTTTCCTGTGAAGAAGCTTTTTAGTTTGCTATAGTCTCGCTTATCCATTTTTGCTTTTGTTGCCTGTGCTTTTGGTGTCATACTCAAGAAACCATTGCCTAAACCAATGTCAAGAATATTCCCCCCTGTTTTCTTCAAGGAATTTTACAGTTTAGGGGCTTAAGTTTAAGATTTAAATTCGTTTTTAGTTGACTTTTGTGCATTAACATCTTGTCTTGTCTCCTCACCTGGATCTACGTTTCCTCTGCAGCACTCACAGAACTCGTCTTTATATTCTCTGGCACTATCGCGCGCGCGTGTGTGTGTGTGTGTGTGTGTGTTGGCAGCTCCATAGAGGAGGTTTTTTTAAAAAGGAGAGAATCTGAAGACATACCAGAAGATTCAATCTTGGAACTTCGCTCCAGGTGGACGGAAACTGACAAAGAAAGTTGGCTAACAGCAGTCCTTGAAATAGATGACGGCTGTGAGAGGATCCAAGGGTCTTTCGGTCCAGAATGCCTTTCTCCTCTTGACACAGCGTCAAGACAAGATTCCATTCAGAAGTTTCAGAAACAGGAGTTAAAACATAGCGGACTTTAACCTATCATGCCTTAAGCCCTCACCTTTAGATAATAGCATATAATAAATCAGTAAGAAAACGGCATTGTAAGTGGGGGTGTAGCTCAGTGGTAGAGCGTATGCTTAACATTCATGAGGCTCTGGGTTCGATCCCCAGCACTTCCACAAGTACATTTCCTTATATCTATCGTTGAACATTTCGTTTCAGTCTTTGAATACTTAGTTCCAGTCTTTTCTTTTTTCTTTGTGCATACACTAGCTTGTGTTTTTCCTACTCACAGCGAAGGTAAGCCATTTGGTACTCATTCATTTGTACTATGGGTCCTAACACTCCTTCAGCCTCCCAACCTGACTGCTTCAGCACAGCTTTATAGTTATTTACTGAAATAGAGAAGCTGCTTATTCAAGATCCCCTGAGAGTGAAGCAACAGGCATGCCGGTCATAGAAGACTCGTTCTCCTAGACCATCCTGGCTAACATGGTGAAACCCCATCTCTACTAAAAATACAAAAAAAAAAAAAAATTAGCCGGGCGTGGTGGCGGGCACCTGTAGTCCCAGCTACTCCAGAGGCTGAGACAGGAGAATTGCATAAACCCGGGAGGCTGAGCTTGCAGTGAGCCGAGATCGCGCCACTGCACTCCAGCCTGGGCGACTGAGCAAGACTCCATCACAAAAAAAAAAAAAAAAAAAAAAAAGACTCGTTCTCCTTTGCTGCCGTTTCTCATTACTATTAAGAAATCGGGGGGGAATAAAAAACAGAAAGAGAAGAAAAAAAAATCGCCCTTGGAAAACATCCATTAGATTTCTCTCCTCCCCCCCCCACCCCCACTCCACCCATATCTGACAGACTACAGACCTTTCCTCATTCTCCCCTACATTTCCACCACTCATAGAATCTTGGTTGGGCGGCAAAAGTGGGTCCAATCATTAGTCATGGGAGCGCTGTGATCTCAGCTTTCTCTAAAGAAGGAATGTTTAGAATTTTTTCCGAACGAAAGACGCTTCTGGCGAAACTCCGAGACTTTCAAAATACACAGTTGAGAAAATTATTTTCAGAGATGGAAAAAGCCGCTGGTCGCTCTCAAAGCGGTGTCAGTTTTGGACAAAAAGGGTTATGTTTTCCTGTGGAACAGAAGCTTGTAGTTCACCTCCCTTGGGAGGGAAAGACCTGGTTTCCTACAGCCA
>NW_003571057.2:807632-860777 GCF_000001405.40 Homo sapiens | reverse complement strand
TTCCTGTTGCTGCTGCAGAAAATTATCACAAACATGGCAGCAGGAGAGAACACACTGACCCCTTCCACTTCTGGGGACAGAAATTGGATCCAGTTCTCCCTGTGCTGAAATCAAGGCATCTGCAGGGCTGCGTTCCCTCTGGAGACTCAGCGAATCAGTTCTCTTGACTTCTCCAGCCCTTAGAGGCCACCTGCATTCTGTGACTAGTGGCCTTCCTCCACCTTCAAAGCCCACAGTGGCTGATAGCGTCTCCCTCCCACTACACTGCTCTAATCCCCACTCCCCTCTTCCTCCACCTCTCACGCGGACCCTTGTGATTACACTGAGCCCAGCAGGACAGTCCAGGCTGTCTCCCCATCTCAAGGTCAACTCATCAACAACCTGAGCTCCACCTTCCCCTTCAGTCCCCTGCCCTATAACATAAATAGTCACAGGCTCCAGGGTTTACAATGTAGCCATCATTGGCGACAGTGATTCTTCCCACCACAGCGCCCATTTCCCCTGTATTCAATCCCCCTTGACCCCAAATACAGTTGGGGCCTGGGTGATGGGACCCTGATGGACACCCCCACCAGAAGCTCTGGGATTCAGGAGGTGGGACAGTGAGAAGCCCAGACAGAAAGCCTCTGACCTGTGACCATGATCACCAGGGGGTTGCTGGGTGTCGACCACCCAGTGAGGGAGTGTGGGCGTGAACCCCGACATCTGTAGGTCCCTGCATGTGCTGGGGTCACAGGGCCCATGATGAAGCTCTCCTGGAATATTCTGCCGTGGAAGATGGGAACGTGGCTTCTGTCTTCTTTGTACAGCATGAAATTGTTAAACCCACGACGATAGTGACACTGAAGAGCCACGTGTCCTCCTCGAGGCACCACAGTGCTGGGCCGGGCAGACAGGAAGGGTTTGTCCTGACCACCTGGGGGAGAAGGAGGCACTGCCTTAGAGAGGAGGATGTGGAGCCACCCCTCCCTCCCTGTGCTCAGAAGATTCTCCCATTTCCACTTTCTAAGGCTCCTACCACACCTGGGTGCCCAGGGCTACAGGAAGGACCCACCCCACATAGACATGGCGTCTCCCTACAACAAGTGTCAGCTGAGAACTTTGAGCAAGTGCTGAATAAGTGACTCTTACTAGATTTTAATACTGCAAAATTACTCACATAAAACAACACAAAGTAGACACGGCATGGAGGGCATGTCCTATGTGAATGGAATATCAGCCAATTCATGAACTGAGCCCCCTCAGAGGATTTGGAATGTCAGGGCCATGGCTGTGGTTTCCCCCCTCTTCTGGTAGAAAGACCGCAGCCACACTGCAGTCCCTACCGTCACGGAAACGCTGGAGGGTGTCAGTTATACCTTTGTCCTCAGAGGACCTGCTGTTCCTAGCACTGCTTCCCTCTCTTTCTCTGCTGCTGACACCACTTCCTCCCTGCACACCCCAGCTTGGAGCACCCCAGTCTCACCCCAGTCTTCACAGAGCTTGACTCAGGAAAGGGAAAGAAAGGCCGGGGAGGGCGAGGTCAGAAATGTGGGCCGAGTATCCAAGGGTCCCCTCTTCCTAGTTTATGAGAGACTCCCCGACAGGACTTCCCTCCTGTTTCAGAAAAATCCTCTTATGTGGGGAGATGACACCCTAAGGTTTGGGGAAGGACTCACCCATGAGTGGCCAGGCCCCCTGCAGCAAGAAGAACCCTGGAAAGAAAGATCATGATAGACGATCCAACTGCAGGCAAACCAGGGCACCCTGCTGCCCCCACTGCACTGTGTGTCTTGGCAGCCAGGCCCTTGCTGGGCTGAAGGTAAACTTAGCCTCCCTGCTACCTGCTGCCAAGAACAGGGCTCTCAGCTGTGGAGAGACCCAGGCTCCAGGCCCAGATCAACACTTCCTGGCCCAGATCTCCACTCCAGGCCCATATCTCCACTCCAGGCCCCTATCTCCACTCCAGGCCCATATCTCCACATCAGACCCATATCTCCACTCCAGGCCCATATCTCCACATCAGACCCATATCTCCACTCCAGGCCCAGATCTCCCCTCTAGGCCCATATCTCCACTCCAGGCCCATATCTCCACTCCAGGCCCATATCTCCACATCAGACCCATATCTCCACTCCAGGCCCATATCTCCACTCCAGGCCCAGATCTCCACCTGCAGGCCCATATCTCCACTCCAGGCCCATATCTCCACTCCAGGCCCGTATCTCCACTCCAGGCCCATATCTCCACACCCAGGCCCATATCTCCCCTCCAGGCCCATATCTCCACTCCAGGCCCATATTTACACCTCCAGGCCCATATCTCCACACCCAGGCCCATATCTCCACTCCAGGCCCATATCTCCACTCCAGGCCCATATCTTTACCTCTAGGCCGAGATCTCCATCCCCACTCTCCCTCCCTCTATTCCCTTCCAGGACTCACCAACGCACGCCATGCTGACGACAGTGAGCGACATGGTGCTGCCGGTGCAGACAGGAGGCCGCGCCCCAGCTCAGCTCAGCAGCGCACAGGATGTTATTTGGCGCCCTGCCCATGCAGTTTACATGTTGACCACATCATGGGAGGGTGACGTACGCAGGCTCTTTCTACCTTGCATGAGGCCCAGTGGGTGCTCGCTCAAGAGCGGAACATGGCTTCCTGGAAATTGTTGTGACTACAATTGCCACCTTGCATCCTTCACTATGACCAGACTCAAAAGACGTCTCAGATCCAACCTCTCACACATGAGGTGATTGAATTCTGTGCTTACATTAAAGACTTTTGATGTATTTTTGTTTTTATCTGAGATTCAAACTTTTCTTCATGTGTAATGTGCAAAATATCTAAGAGGTATTATTAACATTATCAGAGTAATTGTGACAAAAAGCCATTCTAATTTTCCTGATGAGTTTCTAGTACTAAACCTGAGGCACGAGAATTGCTTGAACCTGGGAGGCGGAGGCTGCAGTGAGCTGAGCTCAAGCCACTGAACTCCAGCTTGGGTGACAGAGGAAGAGTCTGTCTCAAGAAAGAAAAAAAAAAGCAAACTAAATAACCTATAATAACAAATCAGAGAACTCAGGTTACCAAATTTTAAGGGGTTCTATAAGTTTATATGAAATGCAGCATCCTCATGAGAGGGGATACAGAGAACCACTGGGCAGAAAACTGTGTCTAAAATACATCTGTGGATACACAGTCCCTTCATAGTTGACAAAGGCTGCCATGTAGTTTAAGGTGGAATAGAATATTTTCTCAATAAATAACACAGGACCATAGGGTTACACGTAGGAAAAAATAAATCTAAACTTATCCTCACACTATAAAAACACTTCTTATTTTTTATCTTGTTGTTGTAAACTTTTTATGCTTTATTTTTAAGATTGACAAATAAAAATTATATACTGTGGTCCTTCACTATTCCTGGGTGATTGGTTCCAGGATCCCCATTCAGATACCAAAATCTGCAGATGCTCAAGCCCCTTGCATGAAATGGCATAGCGAAGCTGGGCACCGTGGCTCACGCCTGTAATCCCAGCACTTTGGGAGGCTGAGTTGGGTAGATCACGAGGTCAGGAGTTCAAGACCAGCTGGTCCAACATTCTGAAACCCCATCTCTACTAAAAATACACACACAAAAAAATTTATCTGTGCATGGTGGCACGTGCCTGTAATCCTAGGGGAGGCTACTGGGGAGGCTGAGGGAAGACAATCGCTTGAACCTGGGAGGCGGAGGTTGCAGTGAGCTGAGATCATGCCACTGCACTCCAGCCTGGGTGAGAGAGTGAGACTGTCTCAAAAAAAAAAAATAGCATAGTAATTGCATAGAACCCATGCACATCCTCCTGTATACATGAAATCATCTCTTGATTACTTATAATTCCTGACACAGCCTACACGCCACTCAATTTGTGTCGATTCAACATAGTTTTTTGCTTCTTGAAACTTCGGGGATTTTTTTCTGAAAACATTTTTGATTTATTGTTGGTTCAATAAACACCTGTAAACCCCACAGATATGGAGGACCGACTGTATATTTATATTATGAAAGATGATATGTTGATATGTGTCCCCGTGGAGATGAGGCTAACAAGGCCTATGACTCTACAAATGTTTCATCGTGGAATGACTCTGCCAGCTTTCCAGGTCTGCAGAGAGTAAGAATATCACTTGTTCATGTGATTCACGATCCTTGGAGCCTCCTATGTGCTGTATCTTTGGATGGAAATTGGAGTCTCAGAGACAAATCAGGCTCCATTCTGCTTCCAGAAGCTCAGAGTCCAGGGCTGAGAACCCAATGGAGAACAGATGGGGTTATGTGGACATGGTAATGATAACACCGGAAGCCTTAGGCAAGAAAAGAGTCTCGTTACCGAAACCATGAGGGCAGACATGTTTATTTGAAGGCGGGAAAACTACATTGAAATTATTTAAAAAATTTATAAGTTTTACTGCTGGCAGAAGGCTGAAAGATAGTCTGAAGGGAGGTGGAACAGCACGTGTCTAAGTGCTGTGTTAAGAGGCAGCCTCTTGTATGTTTGGAATTGTGAGTTCCTCAGTGTGATTGCAGCCTCAGGTAGACTAGGAAGTAAGCCAGTTAGGTTGGAGAGGTGGGCAGGGGTCAAGTGAAATGGAGAATTGTGGGCTAAGCAAAGGAGTGTGTTTTCTCTCCAGCAGGCAGTGGGGACCTTAGACATTTGTAAGCAAGAGAGAGGCATGTTCAGATTCGTGGTGTGAGGAAGAGCGATGCCCTAAGATGAAGACTGATGCCTTCAGATTCCAGCTGCTGGTACATGGGAGCTGGCAACCCGGTTTTGAGACAGGGCTGTTGTCTCCCTAGAAGATCCCCTCAAGGCCTGACTGTGGTGCTCGTGGACAGAAGACAACTTTGGATCTGGGCTCAGCATTTGGAAGTTCTATGTACATGCTGGTATCTGTTGGGGGTGTCTTGGGCCTCTCAGAAGGGCGAGTGATTTTTCTCTGTGTGAAAACACAGTGATCCAATTATGCGTATGACACCTCCTGATGGTCTTGTTCATCAGAATCCTGGAGAGAGGGAAATGCTGAGTGAGGGAGGGTGCTCACATTTTTCAGGACTCTTTGGGAATAAGACTAGCCACGAGGCTGGGCCGAGGAGCACCTACCTCGCTGTTCACTGTTCTGTTCCCTGCAGGCTCTTGGTCCATTACAGCAGCATCTGTAGAAGACGGAAGTCAACAAAAGAGCTCGGAGGGCACTTCTGGGTCCTCATTTCATAAGCAGATACCAACAAACAGGGGGAGGCCATAGGTGCCTGAGGTCCCTCAGTTGCCAACAGCAGACTCAGACATTCTATCTCTCTGAGTTCAAGGACCCATCCCATGAATAGCTCTGAGGTCCCATCCCATTGATTCTATCTCCCACTTTCTGCCTGTCATGGAACCTTCTCCTGGATGTGAGTGGCTGCAGGGGACGTGAGGATACAGTTCAGAATCAGGCAATGGTCTGTGAGCTGAAGGCAGGGGAAGGGAATCTGGTGCTCTCTCTAGAAAGTCCTGCCTCTGTGGCTCCTGTCTTGGGCCAGGGACCATCCTGCTGGTGAGGAACACACATCCGCGTGCTCCCATCCTGCTTCCCCACATGGCCCTGAGCTCTCTGGCCTCTGCTTCGTGAGACTTACTTTTTTTGTCGGAGCACCAGCGATGAAGGAGAAAGAAGAGGAGGATGGTGAAAGGGATTTTGACCACTGAGGTCCCAATCAGAACATGTAGGTGTCTGGGGTTACCTGGAAGAAGAGGAGACACCAATAAGAAGCTAATCATAGCAGTTCCTCTTTATGAATTGTCTCGCATTTCTTGATTGGCAGGTAACCACATACAACGTCTCTTTAGGACAAGCACCCAAATGGCGGGAGACCTAGCTTTCCCCTGCTTTCTCAATTATAGCTCTCATAGTAACCATAGAACGTGCTGAGGATACAACTACTTTAGTTGAGATGTTTGACCCTTTCAAACCTCACATTGAAATTTCACCCCCATTGTGGGAGGTTGGGCCTCTTCAGAGGTGTTTGGGTCATGGAGGTGGATCCATCATGAACAGACCAATGCTGTCCCAAGGAGACGGGGTTAGCAAGTTCCCCCTCTGTTAGTTCCTGGAGAGCTGGTTGTTAAAAAGAGCTTGGAAGCTCCATCGCTCCCTCTCCCCCTTACTCTCTCTCTTGCCGTGTGATCTCTGCGGTCTCTGCACAGACAGACCCTCCTTCCCTTCTGCCAGAGTGGGAGCAGCCTGAGGCCATCACGAGAAATAGATTCTGGTGCCATGCTTCCAGTACAGCCTGCAGAACTGTGAGGCAAACCAATCTCTTTTCTTTAGAAGTTACCCAGGCTCAAGTGTTCCTTTAGAGCAACAAAAATGGACTAAGATAGCAACATCCTGAGATCAGGAGGAATGTCTCAGAACAGCCTGGGCTGTCTTCCTGTTCTTCCTGGAGGAGGACGTCATGCAGTGCTTTAGCTGAGTGCTTCCTGTGGCTCCAGGGTACAAAACCCAGGCTGGGCTGCTTTCTGGCTTCCCCCAGTTACACTGCAAATGGGGTGACTCCATATGTCCCGAGCAGCTTTTCTGAGCCTTGAGGGACTGGCTCACATTGAAATGCAGGCTTCTGTTGTCACTCACTGCTTATCTGTTAGTAATGAACCTGCCTATGTAACGTATTCTCTGTGTGTTCTGTCTCCCTGGAGTGACGGTGAGTGATAGGAATTGGCATAGGCCCAGGTGCAGTCCAGGATTTGTTTAGAGTCTTCTCTGGGAAGACTGCACTGGGATTGATACACAGCGAATGTGCTTTAGGATTTCTACATCCACAGCATTCTTGAGTCAAACAAATTGCATTCACCAAGGAAAGGAAACAAAGGTGAAATCACGATTAAAAATAGCGAAGCAAGATTCTCTTATGTCAAACAGCCAGAAAATAGTGTTGAAGCCCGTGTGAAATGTGCTGCTCTTTGTGATCTCGGGAGACACATGTTAGGCTGCTGTTCTACCCGAGAGGCTGGGGGAAGGACCACCCCCTCCACCATCTATTGCTTCAATACCACCTGTCCTCCTGTGAATTAGTAGGAAAGGGGAACAGGAGCTAGTGCTGTCGCTGATCTCTGATTCCAAGATCTGGACTCACTCCAAGGAGTATTAATGTTTCCTCCCCATGGTCTATCTGAATCTCCACAGGTGATTGGAAGTAGGGGTGAGGTGGGGGATTTGGGTGAGTGGGCAAGTTTTTTTTTGCGATGAACAGAGCACTTTCTCTATTCCAGGATCCGTGCTGGAGGATTCAGCGGGCTTTCACATTTTCTATGTGATCTCATGCTCACAGAAAGCCAAATAGGGAAGAGGTTTTAGGCTCATTGCCTAATGGATAAGATAAAGGATCAAAGAAGTAATTATAGAGAAATAGAAAAATGATGATTGGAATTCAGGTGCCTTTGTCATTCGTGTGTGTTTTATTATATTTATGCATTTCTTATTTTTATTTTTTGAGACGGAGTCTCCTTGTGTCACCCAGGCTGGAGTGCAGTGATGCAATCTCCACTCACTGCAACCTCCACCTCCTGGGTTGAAGTCATTCTCCTGCTTCATCCTCCAGAGTAGGAGCTGGGATTACAGGGATGCACCACCATGCTCGGCTAATTTTTGTATTTTTAGTACAGATAGGGTTTCACCATGTTGGCCAGGCTGGTCTGGAACTCCTGACTTCATGGAATCCACCCGCCTTGGCCTCCTGCAGTGCTGGGTTACAAGCGTGAGCCACCGTTCACAGACTTGTATATTACGCTATAATAGGTCTCTTCATTTCCACCACCCCTCATATATCTGTCACTCCTTTGCCAGGTATTGATTTATGTGTAGGATGAATAAATCTCAGAAAGAAATTAATTAAGCGAGGATTAAACAAGTAGGAAAATCAAACCCAGCAAGCCTTTCCAGCCAATGATTCTACCTCACAAGCATAGCTTATATCCATCTGCTTCATCCACTTAGTGTCAAAATCAGCACCACATTTCACCAGTGGGTCGGGAATTGCCTTTTCCACGGTCTCCTAGATTCCAGTTACGCCCCTGGGCCTCCTTTATTTTCATGTCAGTCATATTAATCATGTAGGGATTCCTGGTTACCCCGAGGTGAATCCAATGGCTGTGAGTGTCAAACACACACTCCTTGTTGCTCCTTAGTTTCCTGTGTACCCAGTGTGCTCTCCGTCTCTCCACAGTCGTCTTGTCATTCTCCCCACCTCATTCCCAGCATTTGAGGAAGAGCCTCTTCCTTCCACATCAGATTGTTTTCACCTTTGTGCCTTCACGGCTGACAGCTGTGTGTGCAAAATCCTTCCGCCAATCTTTCAGGGGTTCAATCCGTGTTTTTCATTAATGTCACAAATATCTGAATAGTGAGACCTTCTTTGTCACCTGAAATCATACACTCAGCATTATCTATTATTGATTTTGAATTCTGGCTGGGCACAGTGGCTCACGCCTGTAGTCCCATTACTTTGGCATGCTGAGACGGTCGGATCACTTGAGGTTGGGAGTTTCAGACAAGCTTGGCCAACGTGGTGAAACATCCTCTCTACAAAAAATATACAAAAAGAATTAGCCGGGCACGGTGGCAGTTGCCTGTAATCCCAGCTACTCGAGAGGCGGAGGCAGGAGAATCACTTGAATCCAGGAGAAGCAGGTTGCAGTGAGCCAAGATCGTGACACTGCACTGTAGCCTGGAAGACAGAGGGCAACTCTGTCTCAATAAACAAAAGAACAAACAAAAAATAGATTTCATGCACAGATGCTTCCCAATGGATCATTCATTTATAGATCCACTTGTGCATTCATTTTCTGCCCTCCCATTTAACCATCTGCAATATCAGTGTCCCAAGGGCAGAGGCCAAATGCATCTTGTTCACTGTTTGTGGAAGGCAGGAGAATGCTGTCCCACCCCAAAATGTCCCTGTCCTAGCCTCCATAGCTTGTGAATATGTTATTTTACATGGAAAGGAGGAATGAAGATTGCAGATGGAATTATGGTTACTAATCAGCTGAACTTAAAACAAGGGTATCCTGGATGATTTCCAGGAGATTATGAGGGATTTTCATCTTGGTGAACCCAATAGAATCCCCAAGTTTTCAAAAGATGAGGAAGAAGGGAGAGCAGCATTCAGAGAAAGAAGTGTGGTAAGGAAGAAGGCACTGAGTGATGCCATGTGAGATGTGACCAGTCTTTGTGGGCTTTGAGGAAGGAGGAAGGGGACCAGGAGCCAAGGAACTGGGAGCCTTTAGAAGCTGGGACAAGTGAGAAGCAGATTCGTGCCTGGAATCCTCAGAGGGAAGGCAGCCTTGCTGTCACCTTGATTTTAGCCCAGTAAGATGCACTTCCTACTTTGAGCTACAGCACTGTAAGATAATTAAAAAACCGTTTTGTTTTCACCCACGAATCTTGTGGAAATTTGTTATGGCAACAATAGGAAAAGGTTCCGCACTGCACAGCCTGAGCATGGGGCCGTGGCTGAATGAGTCAGTGAGTCGAAGTGTGTGTGCATGAGCTCTGTTCTCTGTTACGGCAAGGCTCTTGCTCTGCTGAGTCAGCCAGGGTTGCTTCATGACCTACAGGAGCTCATTCCTTGGCAAGTGGAACTTCTCTAAAACACCTCGCCCTCATCAGATGTTCCCTTCCCTTCCCTCTCTCAAGTCTCCAGGAATTTATCCTCCAGTTAGGAATGCAGGCAGAACAAACATTGCATTTTTCCTGAGAAGGATGTCAGATTGGCAATCATTCTTCTAGCTTGTAGGAGGTCTCAGCTCCATAAAATGAGAGATGAAGAGATTTCACTGAGCCCTGTGTTGGGCCCAGATCCCTTTCGCTGTAGGAGTATCTGGAGTTCGGAGATGGTGGAAGACAGGTGTACAATGTCAGAGCTGTGAGATGCTGAGTCAACGCCTGAATCCAAGGTTTCCACCTCCCCAGGTTTCCAAAAGCGGATATAAGAGGGTTCTGTACTCACCGGTTTCGGAGCTTGGTTCAGTGGGTGAAGGCCAACTATTTGAAGGGTTTCCTAGAACATGAGACAGGAGAGAGGTGAGGAAATGAGGGTTTCTGTCCTCCACTCAGTGGAAATCTTTGAGGATGGTTCATGGCCAACACTCTGTTATCTAATATTGGGCCCTGGGAGTCCTGGGATCCTTTTTTCCATAATTTTTTTATGTGACACCCACTGTCTTGAGACTTCAAGGTATAAAGAGAAAACAGGAGCATCACACTACCTGATCTCAAAATATGTTACAGAGCTGTAGTAAGCAAAATAGCATGACACTGGCATAAAGAAAGGCACATAGAACAACGGAGCAGAATGAATAACACAGATATATTCCATGCATTTACATCCAATGGTTTTTTATTTTTTCTTTTGAGATGGAGTCTTGCTCTGTCACTCAGGCTGGAGTGCAAAGGTGCAATCTCGGTTCACTGCAACCTCAGCCTCCTGGGTTCAATCATTCTCTTGCCTCAAACTCCTGAGTAGTGGTATTACAGGTGCTGACCACCATGCTCAGCTAATTTTTATATTTTTAGTGGAGATGATGTTTCATCACGTCGGCCAGACTAATCTTGAACTCCTGGCCTCAGGTGATCCACCCACCTCGGGCTCCCAAAGTGCTGAAATTGCAGGTGTTAGCCACCAAGCCCAGCCCATCCAATGGACTTTGACAAAGATGCCAAGAACTCACAATCAGGAAAGGACAGTCTTTTCAATAAACAGTGCAGGGAAACCTGGACATCTACATGCAGAGGAATGAAACTGCACCTCTACCTGTCACCATACACAAAAATCAAATGAAAATGGATTAAAGATGTGAGTCTAAGGCCTGAACCTATGAAACACGTAGAACAAAATATTGGGGAAATGCTCCAGGACATTTGTCTGAAGAAAGACATTTTGTTTTAAACCTTGAAAACACAAGTAATCGAAGCAAAAATAGACCATTGGGATTACCTCATACTAAGCAACTTCTGCACCGCTAAAAATAAACCAACAAAGTGAAGAGACAACCCACAGATTGGGAGCAAATATGTGCAAACTATGCATCTGAGATGGGATTAATAACTAGAAATATAAGAAGCTCAAACAACTCAATAAAACAAATGATTTAATTGAAAAAGGAGCAAAAGACATGAAATTTCCCCACATACGAAAAACTGCTCAGTATCACTCATCATCAGAGAAACGCAAATTAAATTCAAAGTGAGTTTTCATCTCACCCCATTAAAATGGCTTTTAGGCCGGGTGAGGTGGCTCACGTTTGTCATCCTAGAACTTTGAGAGCCTGAGGTGGGTGAATCTCATAAGGTCGGGAGTTTGAGACCAGTATGACCCACATAGAGAAACACTGTCTCTACTAAAAATACAAAAATTAGTCGGGCGTGGTGGCGTGTGCCTGTAATTCCAGCTACTCGGGAGGCTGAGGCAGGAGAATCGCTTGAACCTGGGAGGTGGAGGTTGTGGTGAGCCGAGATCGCGCCACTGCACTCCAGCCTGGGTGAGAAGAGCAAAACTCCATCTCAAAATAAAATGAAATAAAATAAAATGGCTTTTAGCTGCAAGACAGGCAAAAGAAATGCTGGCAAGGTGGTAGAGAAAGGAGAACCCTGGTACCCTGTTGGGAGGAGTGTAAATTAGTACAGCCATTACGGAGAAAAGTATGGAAGTCCTTTAAAGAACTAAAAAGAGGTTGGGTGCGGTGGATCATGCCTGTAATCCCGGCACTTTGGGAGACTGAGGCGGGCACCTCAGTTGAGGTCATGAGTTTGAGAGCAGCCCAGCCAACATGGGGAAACCCCATCTATACTAAAAAAACCAAAAAGTAGCCAGGCATGGTGGTGTGCACCTGTAATCCCAGCTACTAGGGAGGCTGAGGCAGGAAAATCATTTGAACCCAGGAGGCGTAGGTTGCAATGAGCCAAGGTCGCACCACTTTGACTCCAGCTTGGGCTAAGGAGGGAAACTCTTTCTCAAAAAAGAAAAAAAGAAAAAAAGAGAACTTTCATAGTATCCAGCAATTTCACTACTGGGTTTATATCCAAAGGAAAGTAAATCAATATATCGAAGTGATATCTGCACTCGTATGATTGGTGCAGCACTGTTCACAGTAGCCAAGATGAGGAGTCAACCTACCTGCCCATCAGTGGGTAAATGGATAGAGAGAATGTAGTACATACGCATAGTGGAGACTACTCATCCATAGAAAGAATAACATCCTGTCATTTGCAGCCACATGGATGGAACTGGAGGTCATTACAAAGATTCCCATTTCTCACCCATATACAGGAGCTAAAAGGTGGATCTCATGAAGGTAGAGAGTAGAATGGTGGCTACTGGAGGACAGGAAGAAAAGGGTGGAGGGTAAAAAAAATGTATATATATATATATGTATATAAATGTATTTATGACCACTAGACTTTACACTTAAAAATGGTAAATGTGGCTGGGCGCGGTGGCCCATGCCTGTAATCCCAGCACTTTGGGAGGCAGATGCGGGTGGATCACTTGGTCAGGAGTTCGAGACCAGCTCGACCAACATGGTGAAACCACCTCCCTACTAAAAATACAAAAAGTAGCCTGGCGTGGTGGTGCGTGCCTGTAGCACCAGCTACTCAGGTGGCTGAGGCAGGAGAATCGCTTGAACCCAGGAGGTGGAGGTTGCAGTGAGCTGAGATTGTGCCACTGCACTCCAGCATAGGGGACACAGCTAGACTCCACCTCAAAAAAAAATGTTAAAAGTGGTAAGCTATATAGGTATATTTATCCTCAATAAATATTTCTTCAAAGAAAAGTAAAGGGTGTAGGGGTTGCTGGTGATGACATCTCTGTGTGGGTGAGAGGCCAGGATGGGCTTCTGGGAAATGGGTAAGGTTGAGGGGCTGAGGGAACCTCTGATCTCCCCAAACTGAGCCCAGTCTCCCTCCTCTGGGTCTCTCCTGACCGCTTTCTCCATCTGCCTGGGTGCCTGGAGCCCTGGCCGTGGGCCTCCATGCAGGCCATGTAGGAGGGTTTGGAGGTGCCCTGTCGGCCATCCTGTGCCCTGATCCCTCCCTCACACCGAGGCTGCGTCTTCTCTCTGCATCTGTCCATGCTTCTCTCCATCATCAGCAGGAAGCTCCTCAGCTAAGGCTCTAGGATCATAGGACATGGGACAGCCATGGGCTTTCCTCACCTGTGACAGAAACAAGCAGTGGGTCACTTGACTTTGACCACTCGTATGGAGAGTCACGGAAAGAGCCGAAGCATCTGTAGGTCCCTCCATGGGTGGCAGGGCCCAGAGGAAAGTTGGCCTGGAATGTTCCGTTGACCTTGGTCCCTGCAGGGAGCCTACGTTCATGGGCCTCCCCTTCCCTGGATAGATGGTACATGTCATAGGAGCTCCGGGAGCTGCAGGACAAGGTCACATTCTCTCCTGCCAGAACCGTGGGGCCCGGCTGGGCTGAGAGAGAAGGTTTCTCATATAGACCTGGAAGGAGAAGAGGCAGTTTCCTCAGGGAGGATCTTCCTTGTCACAGCTCCCTTCACCTGAGCTGAGAACTCACTCCCCTGCTCTATGACCTAATGCTCTCTCTCTCTCTCTCTCACCCTCTACCCCATCGCTCTTCATGTCTATTTCCTCCTTCCACCTTCTCTGTCTCTTTAGGTCTCTGACCTCACTTCCCCACCTCTAGATATGTTTTCTCTTTTTGGATTGTTTTATTCTCTCTGACTCTCCTTGGATTGGTTGACTTGATGTTACTTTTTTTAATTCTGAGTTTCTCACTTTGTGTCCTGTTCATAACTTTCTGCATATTTCTATCTATTATCTATCGATCTATCTATTTATCTATTCGGTGCCTATCTACAAATTCTCTACCTGTCATCTATATCTATATATCATCTATTTATCCATCAATTGTCTATCTATCCATCAATCATCTATTATCTATATCTATGTATCATCTCTCTCTCTCTATGATTTCTCTATGTCTGCCTCTGTATCTCTATGTATTATCTATCTATCTGTCTTCATCATCATCATCTCTATGTCTCATCTATTAATGAATCAATCAATCATCATCTATGTATCTATAACCTATTATCTATCATCTACCTATTTATCATCTATCTATATCTATCCATCTATCATCTGTCTTGCTCTGCCTCTCGGTCTCTCTAGTTCTCTTTGGAATCTCTGCAATTCATCCCCACATCTCCATCTTTCAATGTCCTTGTGCCTCTCCCTCAGGAGTCTAATTTTAGTGCTTTTCTCTGCTCCCTTCCATCATTCTCACTTCTCTGCCCTCTTTTCTCTTTATGTGTCTGTGAGTCTCTCAATCTCCTTCCTCTGGCTCATTCTCTGTGTGTTTATGTCTTTGCTTTTTGGTGTCCCTGATTTCTCTCTGTGCCTCTCACTGATCCTCTCATAAGTGGGCTTATTTGGAATATGAGCCTCAGAATCCAGTCTGGAGACTACAAGTTCACACAGCATACAGGGGTTGGTGTTGTGGGGCCATGATATCCTGGGACGATTACTCTCCATTACATGGAAGGCAGAGGTGTCAGAATAAACATGGCATCTGTAGGTGCCACAAGGCCTGAGGCCACAGGGCCCAACTCAGGTCAGAAATATGGGTGTCCTTGGGTTCTCCTGGTAGAGAACACTTTGTGGAGGTAAAACAGAAATGAAACTTCTAACCTGTGCCAGGTCTCTGAGCAAAGTCAGCATGGAGGGACACCTCTCTCTGGGACATGTCTGTCTGTGTGTTTCCTTTAACTCTTTCTGTCTTTTCAAACTCCCGGTATGGCCCCTGTGTCTGTTCTCTGTTATGACACCTGGTCTGTACTTGTGTCTCCTGTTTCTCTGTCTCTGTTGGCACAGACCTCACCAAGTCAGTCTCTCTCCATAAGAATACCAAGCTCATCTTCCTTACAGCCACCTGGGCCTCCAAGTCCTGGATCATTCACTCTGCATCCCAATGACAATGAGAAGAAAGTCTGGACACTCTCACCTATGATCACGATGTCCAGAGGGTCACTGGGAGCTGACAACTGATAGGGGGAGTGAGTAACAGAACCGTAGCATCTGTAGGTCCCTGCCAGGTCTTGCTTCATGCGACTGATGGAGAAGTTGGCCTTGGAGACCCCATCATGGTGTTCTCCAATGAGGCGCAAAGTGTCGTTAAACATCCCCTCTCTGTGCAGAAGGAAGTGTTCAAACATGACATCTGACCAACATTGCAGGATGACTGTCTCTTCTGATTTCACCAGGCGACCTGGGTGGGCCAGGAGGGAAGGTTTTCTGTGGACTCCTAGGAAGAGAGGTTGTGAGTTTAGAAGGTGTCTCTCTTTATCATCCCATCCATGGCACCTGGATTGAGTCAGGCTTCCCCTTCCTGGTGTCTTATCTCTCTCCTTCCTCTCTGTGTCTTCATGTTCTTTTCTGTGCCCATAACTCCTGGTGCAGGTCCTTCCATCTGTCTCCCTCACTCTTCTCTGTCCCTCTGTCTCTAGTAGCCTCTGATTCCCTTGCCGCTGGGCTCAGCCTCATCTCTTGGGCTGTTGTATCTATTTCGAACTAATGTCTTTCCTGCTGTCTGTGTGGGGGTGGAAGAGGAACCAGGATAGGCTGCACATCCAGGCTCTTAGCAGCCTGGTTCAATCTCTTTTGGACGAATTGGAATCCTTGGCAGGAGGTATGAACTGATCAGTAAGGCAGGCACCAGTGGCCACACACCCTGTTCCTGGTAGGGACTGGGAGACACTCTTGCCATGCCAGTGCCAGCTTCCATAGCCTGGCTCCTGGTGCTGGTTGGAGGAGTATCAACCGCTCCCTATGTGGATGGAGCCTGGTGGTGGCATCATCATCCGAGCCTTGCTGATCTCAGTGTAGCCAACCTTCTCCTTGTTTGGTTTCTTTAATTAATTAATTAATTTTGGCGACAGAGTCTCACTCCTTTGCCCAGGCTGGAGTGAAGTGGTGTGGTCTAGGCTTACTGCAACCTCTGTCTCCTGGGTTCAAGTGATTCTCCTGCCCTCAGCCTCCCAAGTCGCTAGGATTACATGCACCTGCCACCATGCCTGGCTATCCTTGTGTTGTTTCTTAACTTGTCCTTGACCTGGGTTCCAGTGTTGGTTTCCTGTTGCTGCTGTAGAAAATTATCAGAAGCATGGCAGCAGGAGAGAGCACACTAACCCCTTCCAATTCTGGAGACAGAAATCGGACCCTGTTTGTCGTGGGTAAAATCAAGGTACCTGCAGGGCTTCGTTCCCTCTGGAGACTCAGGAGAATCAGTTCCTTGACTTTTCCAGCCTCTATAGGCCACCTGCATTCATGGCTCCTGGACTTCCTCCACCTTCAAAGCTGATGGAGACTCCCATTATGCTGCTGTAATCCCCACTCCCCTCTTCCTCCTCCTTTCCTGTGGACCCCTGTGACTACACTGAGCCCATCAGGACAGTCCAGGCTGTCTCCCCATCTCAAGGTCAACTCATCAACAACCTGAGCTCCATCTTCTCCTTCAGTCCCTTCCCCTATATCATAAATAGTCACAGACTCCAGGGATTAGAATGTAGTCATCACTGGGGACAATTATTCTTCCCACCACAGCACCCATTTCCCTGTATTCAATCCCCCTTTACCCCAAATACAGTCAGGACTTGCATGATGGGACCCGCAAGGACACGCCCACCAGGAGCTCTGGGATTCAGGAGGTGGGACAAGGAGAATCCCAGACAGGAGCCCTCTGACCTGTGACCGTGATCTCCAGGGGGTTGCTGGGTGCCGACCACCCACTGGGGTAGTGTGGTTGTGAACCCCGACATGTATAGGTCCCTGCGTGTGCTGGGGTCACAGGGCCCATGAAAAGGCTGTTCCAGAATATTATGTTGTAGAGCTCAGGGACAGGCACCCCATCTTCCTTTTACAGACTGAAGTTGTTAAACCCAAGATAAGAATGACACTGAAGAATCACATGTCCTGGAGGCACCACAGGGCTTGGCCAGGCAGACAGCAAGGGCTTGTCCTGACCACCGTGGGGAGAAGGAGGCACCGCCTTAGAGAGGAGGATGTGGAGCCGCCCCTCCCTCCCTGTGCTCTGAAGATTCTCCTCGCTTTCCAAGTTTCTATGGCTGCTATCACACCTTGGTGCCCAGGGCTAAAGGAAGGACCCATCCCGCAAACACAAGGTGTCTCCCTACAACAAAAGTGTCAGCTGAGAACTTTGAGCAAGTGCTGAGTAAGAGACTCCTACTAGATTTTAATACTGTAAGATTACTCACATAAAACAACACAGGGTAGACATGGGGTGGAGGGCATGTCCTTTGAGAATGGAATATCAGCCGATGCCTGAACGAAAATAAACAACTGAGTCCCCATCAGAGGATTGGAATGTCAGGGCCATGGCTGTGGTTTTCCCACCTCTTCTGGTAGAATGACAGCAGCCACACTGCAGCCCCTACCGTCATGGAAACGCTGAAGTGTGTGAGTAACACCTTTGTCCTCAGAGGATCTGCTGTTCCTACCACTTCCCCACCACACACCCCAGCTTTGAGCACCGTAGTCTAACCCTGGTCCCCACAGAACTTGACTCTGCCAAGGGAATGAAAGGCCAGGGAGGCAAGGTCAGAAATGTGGGCCCAGCACCCCAGGGTCCCTTCTTCCTAGTTTATGAGAGACTCCCTGACAGGACTTCCCTCCCATTTCAGGAAAATCCTCTTATGTGGGGAGATGACACCCGAAGGTTGGGAGAAGGACTCACCCTCATGTGGCCAGGCCCCCTGCAGCAAGAAGAACCCTGGAAAGAAAGATCATGATGGATGACCCATCTGCAGGCAAACCAGGGCACCCTTGCTGCCCCCACTGGGCTGTGAGTCTTGGTAGCCAGGCCCTTCCTGGGCTGAAGGTAAACTCACCCTCAGTGCCTACCTGCACCCAAGAACAGGGCTGTCGGCTGTGCAGAGACCCAGCCTCCAGGTCCATATCCCCACCTCAAGCCCATATCTCCACTCCAGGCCCATATCTCCACTCCAGGCCGATATTTCCACCCTAAGCCCATATCGCCAATCCAGGCCCATATCTCCAATCCAGGCTCAGATCTCCACCCTGGGCCCATATCTCCAATCCAGGCCCTTATCTCCACTCCAGGTCCATATCTCCTCTCCAGTCCCATATCTCCACTCCAGGCCCATATATCCTCTCCAGTCCCATATCTCCACACCCAGGCCCGTATCTCCATCCTAGGCACATATCTCCTCTCCAGGCCCAGATATCGACCTCTAGGCCCATATCTCCACTCCTGGCCCATATCTCCACTCCAGGCCCAGATATCGACCTCTAGGCCCATATCTCCACTCCTGGCCCATATCTCCACTCCAGGCCCATGTCTCCACTTCAGGCCCATATCTCTACTGCAGGCCCATAACTCCACCTCCAGGCCCATGACTCCACTCCAGGCCCATATCTCCACCTCCAGGCCCATATCTCCCCTCCAGGTTCCTATCTCCCCTCCAGGTTCCTATCTCCACTCCAGGCCCAGATCTCCACTACAGTCCCATCACTCCACCTCCAGGCCTATATCTCGACCTCTGGGCCCAGATCTCCACTTCTAGGCCCATCACTCCATCTCTAGGCCCATATATCCACTCCAGGCCCAGATCTCCACTCCAGGCCCATAACTCCACCTCCAGGCCTATATCTCCACCTCTGGGCCCAGATCTCCATCCCCTCACTCCCTCCCTCTATTGCTTTCCAGGACTCACCAACACACGCCATGCTGACGACCAAGAGCGACATGGTGCTGCCGGAGCAGACAGGCAGCCGCGACCGAGCTCAGCTCAGCAGCGCACAGGATGTTATTTGGCGCCCTGCCCATGCAGTTTACATGTTGACCACATCATGGGAGGGTGACGTACGCAGGCTCTTTCTACCTTGCATGAGGCCCAGTGGGTGCTCGCTCAAGAGCGGAACACGGCTTCCTGGAAATTGTTCTCGCTAGAATTTGACACCTAGTGTCCTTCACTATGACCAACTCAAAACACGTCTGAGATCCAACCTCCCGAACACGAGATGCCTAAAATCTGTGCTAACATGAAAGACTTTTCATGTATTTCTATTGTTTTTATCTGAGATTCAAACTCTTCTTCCTGTGTAATATGCAAAATATCTAATAGGTATTATTAATGTTTTCAGAGTCATTGTCACTAATAAACCATTAGAATTTTTCATGCTTGTATTTCTAGTATTACAGCAGAACCAGTTAAAATGATTTAAATTCCCAGGGAAGGATTATGCAATTATTTACAATCTTAGAATTGTACTTTATCAGTAAAAACCCCACCTGTAAATTCTGGAGTTTTGTAGTTTAATCTAAAATTTGTCTCATGACCCAAGATTCCAGAGTCCCAACTCTGGAGTTTGTTTTCCGTCTGTCTCTCTCCCTCCCTCATTTTAAATTTTACAGAAATATCCAGTAACATAATGCTATAGAAAATCAAGTTTCCCCAGCACGTTGGGAAGCCGAGGTGGGCGGATCAACTGAGATAAGGAGTTTGAGAGCAGCCTGGCCAATATAGTGAAACCGTGTCTCTGCTAAAAATCCAAAAATTAGCCGTGCCTGGTGGCAGGCACCTGTAACGCCAGCTACTCAAGAGGCTGAGGCATGAGAATCGCTTGAACCTGGGAGGCAGAAGTTGCAGTGAGCTGAGATTGTGTCACTGCAGTCCAGCCTGGGCGACAGAGCAAGACTCCGCCTCAAGAAAAAAAAGCAAATAGCCTATAATAACAAATTAGAGAGCTCTGGCTACTAAATTTAAAGGGTTCTATAAGGCTACATAAAGTGCAGCATCATCAAGAGTGTGGACACAGAGAGCCCCTTAGCAGAAACAGTGTCTAAAGTACATCCGTGTACACACAGTCCCTTTAGAGTTGACAAAGGCTGCCGTGTGGTTTAAGGTGGCATAGAATGTCTTCTCAATAAATAATATTAAACCAATGGGTTATACCTAGGAAAAAATAAATCTAACTCACACTATAAAAACACTTCTTAGTTTTTATCTAGTTGTACATTTTTTATGATTTATATTTAAATTTGAGAAATAAAAGTCATATACGGTCATCCTTCACTATTCGTGGGTGATTGGTTTCGAGATCTCCACTCAGATACCAAAATCTGTAGATGCTCAAGCCTCTTATATGAAATGGCACAGAGTTTGCAAATAACCTATGCACATCCTCCTGTATACATGAAATCATCTCTAGATTACTTATAATTCCTGATGCAGCCTACACACAGCTTCATTTGTGTCCATTCAACACAGTTCTGCTTTTTGTAACTCTGTGGATACTTTCTCTGAATATTTTTGATTTATACTCGGTTCAATAAAGAACTGTAAACCCCACAGATATGGAGGAGTGACTGTATATTTATAGTGTGAAAGATGATGTGTTGATATGTGTCCCTGTGTAGATGAGACTAACAAGGCCTATGATTCTACAAATGTTTCATCTTGGAATGACTCTGCCAGATTTCCAGGTCTGCAGAGAGTAAGAATATCACTTGTTCATGTGATTCACGATCCTTGGAACCTCCTATGTGCTACATCTTTGGATGGAAATAGGAGTCCCAGAGACAAATGAGGCTCCACCCTGCTTCCAGAAACTCAGAGTCCGGGGGTGAGAACCCAGTGGAGAACAGATGGGGTTATGTGGACATGGTAATGATAATGGAAGTCTTAGGCAAGAAAAGAGTCCCATTACCGAAACCATGAGGGCAGACATGTTTATTTGAAGGAGGGAAAACTACATTGAAATTATTTTAAAAAATATATAAGTTTTACTGCTGACAGAAGGCTGAAAGATACTCTGAGGGGAGGTGGAACAGCATGAGGGAAGGTGGAACAGGACGTGTCTAAGTGCCGTGTTAAGAGGGAGCCTCTTGTATGTTTGGAACTGTGAGTTCCTCAGTGTGATTGCAGCCTCAAGTAGACTAGGAAGTAAGCCAGTAAGGTTGGAGAGGTGGGCAGGGGTCAAGTGAAATGGAGAATTGTGGGCTAAGCAAAGGAGTGTGTTTTCTCTCCAGCAGGCAGTGGGGACCTTAGACATTTGTAAGCAAGAGAGAGGCACATTCAGATTTGTGGTGTGAGGAAGAGCGATGCCCTAAGATGCAGACTCACGCCTTCAGATTCCAGCTGCTGGTACATGGGAGCTGGCAACCCGGTTTTGAGACAGGGCTGTTGTCTCCCTAGAAGATCCCCTCAAGGCCTGACTGTGGTGCTCATGGGCAGGAGACAACTTTGGATCTGGACTCAGCATTTGGAAGTTCCGTGTACACTCTGGTATCTGTTGGGGGTGTCTTGGGCCTCTGAGAAGGGCGAGTGATTTTTCTCTGTGTGAAAACGCAGTGATCCAACTGTACGTATGTCACCTCCTGAGGGTCTTGTTCATCAGAGTCCTGGAGAGAGGGAAATCCTGAGTGAGGGAGGGTGCTCACGTTTTCCAGGACTGTTTGGGAATAACACTAGCCACGAGGCTGGGCCGAGGAGCACCTACCTCGCTATTCGCTGTTCTGTTCCCTGCAGGCTCTTGGTCCATTACAGCAGCATGTGTAGGAGACGGAAGTCAACAAAAGAGCTCGGAGGGCACTTCTGGGTCCTCATTTCATAAGCAGATACCAACAAACAGGGGGAGGCCATAGGTGCCTGAGGTCCCTCAGTTGCCAACAGCAGACTCAGACATTCTATCTCTCTGAGCTCAAGGACCCATCCCATGAATAGCTCTGAGTTCCCATCCCATTGATTCTGTCTCCCACTTTCTGCCTGTCATGGAACCTTCTCCTGGATGTGAGTGGCTGCAGGGGACATGAGGATACAGTTCAGAATCAGGCAACGGTCTGTGAGCTGAAAGCAGGGACAGGGAGTCTGGTGCCCTCTCTAGAAAGTCCTGCCTCTGTGGCTGCTGCCTTGGGCCAGGGACCATCCTACCTGTGAGGAACACACACCTGAGTGCTCCCATCCTGCTTCCCCACATGGCCCTGAGCTCTCTGGCCTCTCCTTCGTGAGACTTACTTTTCTTGTTGGAGCACCAGCGATGAAGGAGAAAGAAGAGGAGGAGGATGAAGAGGATGATGACCACTGAGGTCCCAATCAGAACGTGCAGGTGTCTTGGGTTACCTGGAAGAAGATGAGACACCAATAAGAAGCTAATCATAGCAGTTCCTCTTTATGAATTGTCTCGCATTTCTTGATTGACAGGTAACCACGTAAAACACCTCTTTAGGACAAGCACCCAGATGGCGGGAGACCCAGCTTTCTCCTGCTTTCTCAGTTATAGCTCTCAAAGTAACCATAGAATGTGCTGAGGACACAACTACTTTAGTTGAGATGTTTGACCCCTTCAAACCTCACATTGAAATTTCACCCCCATTGTGGGAGGTTGGGCCTCTTGAGAGGTGTTTGGGTCATGGAGGTGGATCCATCATGAACAGATCAATGCTGTCCCAAGGAGACGGGGTTAGCTAGTTCCCCCTCTATTAGTTCCTGGAGAGCTGGTTGTTCAAAAGAACTTGGAAGCTCCATCGCTCCCCCTCCCCCTTGCTCCCTCTCTTGCCGTGTGATCTCTGTGGTCTCTGCACAGACAGACCCTCCTTCCCTTCTGCCAGAGTGGGAGCAGCCTGAGGCCATCACGAGAAATAGATGCTGGTGCCATGCTTCCAGTACAGCCTGCAGAACGGTGAGGCAAACCAATCTCTTTTCTTTAGAAGTTGCCCAGGCTCAAGTGTTCCTTTAGAGCAACAAAAATGGACTAAGACAGCAACGTCCTGAGATCAGGAGGAACGTCCCAGAGCAGCCTGGGCTGTCTTCCTGTTCTTCCTGGAGGAGGACGTCATGCAGTGCTTTAGCTGAGTGCTTCCTGTGGCTCCAGGGTACAAAACCCAGGCTGGGCTGCTTTCTGGCTTCCCCCAGCTACACTGCAAATGGGGTGACTCCATATGTCCCGAGCAGCTTTTCTGAGCCTTGAGGGACTGGCTCACATTGAAATGTAGGCTTCTGTTTTCACTCGCTGCTTATCTGTTAGTAATGAACCTGCCTATGTAACGTATTCTCTGTGTGTTCTGTCTCCCTGGAGTGACGGTGAGTGATAGGAATTGGCGTAGGCCCAGGTGCAGTCTAGGAGGTGTTTAGGGTCTTTTCTGGGAAGACTGCACTGGGATTGACACACAGCGAATGTGCTTTAGGATTTCTACATCCACAGCATTCTTGAGTCAAACAACTTGCGTTCTCCAAGGAAAGGAAACAAAAGTGAAATCAAGATAAAAAAGCGAAATAGAGTTATCTTATGTCCAACAGCCAGGAAATCGTGTTGAAGCCCCTGTGAAACGTCCTACTCTTTGTGATCTCGGGAGACACATGTTAGGCTGCTGTTCTACCTGAGAGGCTGGGGGAAGGACCACCCCCTCCACCATCTATTGCTTCAATACCACCTGTCCTCCTGTGAATTAGTAGGAAAGGGGAGCAGGAGCTAGTGCTGGTGCTGATCTCTCATTCCAAGATCTGGACTCACTCCAAGGAGTATTAATGTTTACCTCCCCATGGTCTATCTGAATCTCCACAGGTGATTGGAAGTAGGGGTGAAGTGGGGGATTTGAGTGAGAGGGCAAGTTTTTTTTGTGATGAACAGAGCACTTTCTCTATTCCACGATCTGTGCTGGAGGATTCAGCAGGCTTTCACATTTTCTATATGGTCTCATGCTCACAGAAAGCCAAATACGGAAGAGGTTTTAGGCTCATTGCCTAATGGATAAGACAAAGGATCAAAGAAGTAATTATAGAGAAATACAAAAATGATGATTGGAATTCAGGTGCCTTTGTCATTCGTGTGTGTTTTATTATATTTATGCATTTCTTATTTTTATTTTTTGAGACGGAGTCTCCTTGTGTCACCCAGGCTGGAGTGCAGTGATGCAATCTCCACTCACTGCAACCTCCACCTCCTGGGTTGAAGTCGTTCTCCTGCTTCATCCTCAAGAGTAGGAGCTGGGATTACAGGGATGCACCACCATGCTCGGCTAATTTTTGTATTTTTCATAGAGACAGGGTTTCACCATTTTGGCCAGGCTGGTCTGGAACTCCTGACTTCAAGTGATCCACCCGCCTTGGCCTCCTGCAGTGCTGGGAATTGCCTTTTCCACGGCCTGAGCATGGGGCCGTGGCTGAATGAGTCAGTGAGTCGAAGTGTGCGTGCATGAGCTCCGTTCTCTGTTAAGGCAAAGCTCTTGCTCTGCTGAGTCAGCCAGGGTTGCTTCATGACCAACAGTAATTCATTCCTGGGCAAGTGGAACTTCTCTAAAACACCTCGCCCTCATCAAATGTTCCCTACCCTTCCCTCTCTCAAGCCCCCAGGAATTTATCCTCCAGTTAGGAATGCAGGCAGAACAAACATTGCATTTTTCCTGAGAAGGATGTCAGATTGCCAATCATTTTTCTAGCTTGTAGGAGATCTCAGCTCCATAAAATGAGAGATTAAGAGATTTCACAGAGCCCTGTTTTGGGTCCAGATCCCTTTCGCTGTTGGAGTATCTGGAGTTTGGAGATGGTAGAAGACAGGCGTACAATGTCAGAGCTGTGAGATGCTGAGTCAACGCCTGAATCCAAGGTTTCCACCTCCCCAGGTTTCCAAAAGCGGATATAAGAGGGTTCTGTACTCACCGGTTTTGGAGCTTGGTTCAGTGGGTGAAGGCCAACTATTTGAAGGGTTTCCTAGAACATGAGACAGGAGAGAGGTGAGGAAATGAGGGTGTCTGTCCTCTACTCAGTGGAAATCTTTGAGGTTGGTTCATGGCCAACACTCTGTTATCTAATATTGGGCCCTGGGAGTCCTGGGATCCTTTTTTCCGTAATTTTTGTATGTGACGGCTACTGTCTTGAGACTTCAAGGTATAAAGAGAAAACAGGAGCATCACACTACCTGATCTCAAAATATGTTACAGAGCTGTAGTAAGCAAGACAGCATGACGTTGGCATGAAGAAAGGCACATAGAACAACGGAGCAGAATGAATAACACAGATATAATCCATGCATTTACCTCCAATGTATTTTTTGTTTTTCTTTTGAGATGGAGTCTTGCTCTGTCACCCAGGCTGGAGTGCAGAGGTGCAATCTCGGTTCACTGCCACCACAGCCTCCTGGGTTCAATCACTTCTCTTGCCTCAAACTCCTGAGTAGTGGTATTACAGGTGCTGACCACCATGCTCAGCTAATTTTTATATTTTTAGTGGAGACGATGTTTCATCACGTTGGCCAGACTAATCTTGAACTCTTGGCCTCAGGTGATCCACCCACCTCGGGCTCCCAAAGTGCTGAAATTGCAGGTGTCAGCCACCATGCCCAGCCCATCCAATGGACTTTGACAAAGGTGCCAAGAACTCACAATCAGGAAAGGACAGTCTTTTCAATAAACAGTGCAGGGAAACCTGGACATCGACATGCAGAGGAATGAAACTGCACCTCTGCCTGTCACTATACACAAAAATCAAATGAAAATGGATTAAAGATGTGAGTCTAAGGCCTGAACCTATGAAACACGTAGAAGAAAATATTGGGGAAATGCTCCAGGACGTTTGTCTGAAGGAAGACATTTTGTTTTAAACCTTCAAAACACAAGTAATCGAAGCAAAAATAGACCATTGGGATTACCTCAAACTAAGCAACTTCTGCACCGCTAAAAATAAACCAACAAAGTGAAGAGACAACCCACAGATTGGGAGCAAATATGTGCAAACTATGCATCTGAGATGGGATTAATAACTAGAAATATAAGAAGCTCAAACAACTCAATAAAACAAATGATTTAATTGAAACAGGAGCAAAAGACATGAAATTTCCCCACATACGAAAAAGTGCTCAGTATCACTCATCATCAGAGAAACACAAATTAAAATCAAAGTGAGTTTTCATCTCACCCCATTAAAATGGCTTTTAGGCCGGGCGTGGTGGCTCACGTCTGTCATCCTAGAACTTTGAGAGCCTGAGGTGGGTGAATCTCATAAGGTCGGGAGTTTGAGACCAGTCTGACCCACATGGAGAAACACTGTCTCTACTAAAAATACAAAAATTAGTCGGGCGTGGTGGCGTGTGCCTGTAATTCCAGCTACTCGGGAGGCTGAGGCAGGAGAATCGCTTGAACCTGGGAGGTGGAGGTTGTGGTGAGCCGAGATCGCACCACTGCACTCAGCCTGGGTGACAAGAGCGAAACTCCATCTCAAAATAAAATGAAATAAAATAAAATGGCTTTTAGCTGCAAGACAGGCAAAAGAAATGCTGGCAAGGTGTTAGAGAAAGGAGAATCCTGGTATCCTGTTGGTAGGAGTGTAAATTAGTACAGCCATTACGGAGAAAAGTGTGGAAGTCCTTTAAAGAACTAAAAAGAGGTTGGGTGAGGTGGATCATGCCTGTAATCCCGGCACTTTGGGAGACCGAGGCGGGCACCTCAGTTGAGGTCATGAGTTTGAGAGCAGCCCAGCCAACATGGGGAAACCGCATCTATACTAAAAAAAACAAAAAGTAGCCAGGCATGGTGGCGTGCGCCTATAATCCCTGATACTAGGGAGGCTGAGGCAGGAAAATCATTTGAACCCAGGAGGCAGAGGTTGCAATGAGCCAAGATGACATCACTTGTACTCCAGCCTGGGCACAGAGGGAAACTGTCTCAAAAACAAAAACAAAACAACAAACGAAAAACTAAAAAGAGAACTTTCATAGTATCCAGCAATTTCACTACTGGGTTTATATCCAAAGGAAAGTAAATCAATATATCGAAGTGATATCTGCACTCGTATGATTGGTGCAGCACTCTTCACAGTAGCCAAGATGAGGAGTCAACCTACCTGCCCATCAGTGGGTGAATGGATAGAGAGAATGTGGTACATTTGCATAGTGGAGACTACTCTTCCATAGAAAGAAAAACATCCTGATATTTGCAGCCACATGGATGGAACTGGAGGTCATTACAAAGATTCCCATTTCTTACCCATATACAGGAGCTAAAAGGTGGATCTCATGAAGGTAGAGAGTAGAATGGTGGCTACCAGAGGCCAGGAAGAAAAGGGTGGAGGGTAAAAAAAAATATGTGTATATATATATATATTAATGTATTTATGACCACTAGACTTTACACTTAAAAATGGTAAATGTGGCTGGGCGTGGTGGCTCATGCCTGTAATCCCAGCACTTTGGGAGGCAGATGCGGGTGGATCACGTGGTCAGGAGTTGGAGACCAGCTCGACCAACATGGTGAAACCCCCTCTCTACTAAAAATACAAAAAGTAGCCTGGCGTGGTGGTGCGCGCCTGTAGCACCAGCTACTCAGGTGGCTGAAGCAGGAGAATCACTTGAACCCAGGAGGCGGAAGTTGCAGTGAGCTGAGATTGTGCCACTGCACTCCAGCATAGGGGACAGAGCTAGACTCTGCCTCAAAAAAAAAAAAAATGTTAAAGGTGGTAAGCTATATAGGTATATTTATCCTCAATAAATATTTCTTCAAACAAAAGTAAAGGGTGTAGGGGTTGCTGGTGATGACATCCCTGTGTGGGTGAGAGGCCAGGATGGGCTTCTGGGAAATGGGTAATGTTGAGGGGCTGAGGGAACCTCTGATCTTCCCAAACTGAGCCCAGTCTCTCTCCTCTGGGTCTCTCCTGACCGTTTTCTCCATCTGCCTGTGTGCCTGGAGCCCTGGCCGCGGGCCTTCATGCAGGCCGTGTAGGAGGGTTTGGAGGTGCCCTGTCTGCCATCCTGTGCCCTGATCCCTCCCTCACACCCAAGCTTCGTCTTCTCTCTGCATCTGTCCATGCTTCTCTCCATCATCAGCAGGAAGCTCCTCAGCTAAGGCTCTAGGATCATAGGACATGAGACAGATATGGGGTTTCCTCACCTGTGACAGAAACAAGCAGTGGGTCACTCGAGTTTGACCACTCGTATGGAGAGTCACGGAAAGAGCCGAAGCATCTGTAGGTTCCTCCGTGGGTGGCAGGGCCCAGAGGAAAGTCGGCCTGGAATGTTCCGTTGACCTTGGGCCCTGCAGAGAACCTACGTTCATGGGCCTCCCCCTCCCTGGATAGATGGTACATGTCATAGGAGCTCCGGGAGCTGCAGGACAAGGTCACGCTCTCTCCTGCCAGAACCGTGGGGCCCGGCTGGGCTGAGAGAGAAGGTTTCTCATATAGACCTGGAGGAGAAGAGGCATTTTCCTTACGGAGGATCTTCCTTGTCACAGCTCCCTTCACCTGAGCTGAGAACTCACTCCCCTGCTCTATGACCTAATGCTCTCTCTCTCTCTCTCTCTCACCCTCCACCCCATCTCTCTTCATGTCTATTTCCTTCTTCCACCTTCTCTGTCTCTCTAGGTCTCTGACCTCGCTTCCCCACCTCTAGATATGTTTTCCCTTTTTGGATTCTTTTATTCTCTCTGACTCTCCTTGGATTGGTTGACTTGATGTTACTTTTTTAAATTCTAAGTTTCTCACGTTGTGTCCTGTTCATAACTTTCTGCATATTTCTATCTATTATCTGTCGATCTATCTATTTATCTATTCGGTGCCTATCTACAAATTCTCTACCTGTCATCTATATCTATATATCATCTATGTATCTATCACTTGTCTATCTATCCATCAATCATCTGTTATTTATATGTATGTATCATCTCTCTCTCTATGATTTCTGTCTGCCTCTCTATCTGTACGTATTATCTGTCTTCATCATCATCATCTCTATGTATTATCTATTAATGAATCAATCAATCATCATCTATGTATCTTTAACCTATTATCTATCATCTACCTATTTATCATCTATCTATATCTATCCATCTATCATCTGTCTTGCTCTGCCTCTCGGTCTCTCTAGTTCTCTTTGGAATCTCTGCAATTCATCCCCACATCTCCATGTTTCTATGTCCTTGTGCCTCTCTCTCAGGACTCTAATTTTAGTGCTTTTCTCTGCTCCCTGCCATCATTCTCACCACTCCTCTGCCCTCTTTTCTCTCTCTTTATGTGTCTGTGAGTCTCTCAATCTCCTTCCTCTGGCTCATTCTCTGTGTGTTTATGTCTTTGCTTTTTGGTGTTCCTGATTTTTCTCTGTGCCTCTCAGTGATCCTTTCATATGTGGGGTTATTTGGAATGTGAGCCACAGAATCCAGTCTGGAGACCACAAGTTCACACAGCATACAGGGGTTGGTGTTCTGGGGCCATGATATCCTGGGACGATTACTCTCCATTACATGGAAGGCAGAGGTGTCAGAATAAACATGGCCTGTAGGTGCCACAAGGCCTGAGGCCACAGGGCCCAACTCAGGTCATAAATATGGGTGTCCTTGGGTTCTCCTGGTAGAGAACACTTTGTGGAGGTAAAACAGAAATGAAACTTCTAACCTGTGCCAGGTCTGTGAGCAAAGTCAGCATGGAGGGACACCTCTCTCTGGGACATGTCTGTCTGTCTGTCTCTTTTAACTCTTTCTGTCTTTTCTAACTCCCTGTATGGCCCCTGTGTCTGTCCTCTGTTATGACACCTGGTCTGTACTTGTGTCTCCTGTTTCTCTGTCTCTGTTGGTACAAACCTCAGCAAGTCAGTCTCTCTCCATAAGAATACCAAGCTCATCTTCCTTACAACTACCTGGGGGTTCCAAGTCGTGGATCATTCACTCTGCATCCCAATGACAATGAGAATGTCCGGACACTCTCACCTGTGATGACGATGTCCAGAGGGTCACTGGGAGCTGACAACTGATAGGGGGAGTGAGTAACAGAACCGTAGCATCTGTAGGTCCCTGCAAGGTCTTGCATCATGGGACCGATGGAGAAGTTGGCCTTGGAGACCCCATCATGGTGCTCTCCAATGAGGTGCAAAGTGTCCTTAAACTTCCCTTCTCTGTGCAGAAGGAAGTGCTGAAACCTGACATCTGACCAACATTGCAGGATGACTGTCTCTTCTGATTTCACCAGGGGACCTGGGTGGGCCAGGAGGGAAGGTTTTCTGTGGACTCCTAGGAAGAGAGGTTGTGAGTTTAGAAGGTGTCTCTCTTTATCATCCCATCCATGGCACCTAGAATGAGTGAGGCTTCCCCTTGCTGGTGTCTGTCTCTCTCCTTCCTCTCTGTGTCTTCATGTTCTTTTCTGTGCCCTTAACTCCTGGTGCAGGTCCTTCCATCTGTCTCCCTCCCTCTTCTCTGTCCCTCTGTCTCTAGTAGCCTCTGATTCCCTTCCCACTGGGCTGAGCCTCATCTCTTGGGGTGTTGTATCTATTTCACACTAATGTATTTCCTGCTGTTTATGTGGGGGTGAAAGAGGAACCAGGATAGGCTGCACATCCAGGCTCTTATCAGCCTGGTTCAATCTCTTTTGGATGAATTGCAATCCTTGGCAGAAGGTATGAACTGATGAATAAGGCAGGCACCAGTGTCCACACACCCTGTTCCTGGTGGGGACTGGGAGCCACTCTTGCCATGCCTGTGCCTTCTCCATGGTGCCAGCTTCCATAGGCTGGCTCCTGGTGCTGGTTGGAGGAGTATCAACCCCTCCCTATGTGGATGGAGCCTGGTGGTGGCATCATCATCCCACCCTTGCTGATCTCAGGGTAGCCAACCTTCTCCTTGTTTGGTTTCTTTAATTAATTAATTAATTATGGAGACAGAGTCTCACTCCTTCACCCAGGCTGGAGTGAAGTGGTGTGGTCTAGGCTCACTGCAACCTCTGTCTCCTGGGTTCAAGTGATTCTCCTGCCCTCAGCCTCCTGAGTCGCTAGGATTACATGCACCTGCCACCATGCCTGGCTTTCCTTGGGTTGTTTCTTAACTTGTCCTTGACCTGGGTTCCAGTGTTGGTTTCCTGTTGCTGCTGTAGAAAATTATCAGAAGCATGGCAGCAGGAGAGACCACACTGACACCTTCCAGTACTGGAGACAGAAATTGGACCCTATTTTTCCTGGGCTAAAATCAAGGCATCTGCAGGGCTTTGTTCCCTCTGGAGACTCTGGAGAATCAGTTCCTTGACTTTTCCAGCCTCTATAGGCCACCTGCATTCATGGATCTTGGCCTTCCTCCACCTTCAAAGCTGGTGAAGACTTCCACTGGACTGCTCTAATCCCCACTCCCCTCTTCCTCCTCCTTTCATGTGCACCCTTGTGATTACACTGAGCCCAGTGGGACAGTCCAGGCTGTCTCCCCATGAGCTCCATCTTCCCCTTCAGTCCCTTCCCCTATAACATAAATAGTCACAGACTCCAGGGATTAGAATGTAGTCATCACTGGGGACAATTATTCTTCCCACCACAGCACCCATTTCCCTGTATTCAATCCCCCTTTACCACAAATACAGTCAGGGCCTGCGTGATGGGACCCTCAAGGACATGCCCAACAGAAGCTCTGGGATTCAGGAGGTGGGACAAGGAGAATCCAAGACAGGAGCCCTCTGACCTATGACCACGATCACCAGGGGGTTGCTGGGTGCTGACCACCCACTGGGGGAGTGTGTGTGTGAACCCCGACATCTGTATGTCCCTGTGTGTGCGGGGGTCACAGGGCCCATGAAAAGGCTGTTCCAGAATATTCTGTTGTAGAGCTCAGGGACAGGCACCCCACCTTCCTTTTACAGACTGAAGTTGTTAAACCCAAGATAAGAGTGACACCGAAGAATGACATGTCCTAGAGGCACCACAAGGCTGGGCCAGGCAGACAGCAAGGGCTTGTCCTGACCACCTTGGGGAGAAGGAGGCGCCGCCTTAGAGAGGAGGATGTGGAACTGCCCTTCCCTCCCTGTGCTCAGAAGATTCTCCTCGCTTTCCACGTTTCTATGGCTACTATCACACCTTGGTGCCCAGGGCTGAAGGAAGGACCCATCCCGCAAAGACATGGTGTCTCCCTACAACAAAAGCCTCAGCTGAGAACTTTGAGCAAGTGCTGAGTAAAGAGACTCCTACTAGATTTTAATACTGTAAGATTACTCACATAAAACAACACAGGGTAGACATGAGGTGGAGGGCATGTCCTTTGTGAATGGATATCAGCGGATGCCTGAACGAAAATAAACAACTGAGCCCCCATCAGAGGATTTGGAATGTCAGGGCCATGGCTGTGGTTTCCCACCTCTTCTGGTAGAATGACAGCAGCCACACTGCAGCCCCTACCATCATGGAAACGCTGAAGTGTGTGAGTAACACCTTTGTCCTCAGAGGATCTGCTGTTCCTACCACTTCCCAACCACACACCCCAGCTTTGAGCACCCCAGTCTAACCCTGGTCCCCACAGAACTTGACTCTGCCAAGGGGTTGAGAGGCCAGGGAGGCGAGGTCAGAAATGTGGGCTGAGCACCCCAGGGTCCTCTCTTCCTAGTTTATGAGAGACTCCCCGACAGGACTTCCCTCCTGTTTCAGGAAAATCCTCTTATGTGGGGAGATGACACCCGAAGGTTTGGAGAAGGACTCACCCTCATGTGGCCAGGCCCCCTGCAGCAAGAAGAACCCTGGAAAGAAAGATCATGATGGACCATCCATCTGCAGGCAAACCAGGCCTCCCTTGCTGCCCCCACTGGGCTGTGAGTCTTGGCAGCCAGGCCCTTCCTGGGCTGAAGTTAAACTCACCCTCAGTGCCTACCTGCACCCAAGAACAGGGCTGTCGGCTGTGCAGAGACCCAGTTTCCAGGCCCATATCCCCACCCCAAGCCCATATCTCCACTCCAGGCTGATATTTCCACCCTAGGCCCATATCGCCAATCCAGGCTCAGATCTCCACCCTAGGCCCCTATCTCCAATCCAGTCCCATATCTCCGCCCCAGGCCCAGATCTCCACCCTAAGCCCATATCTCCACTCCAGGCCCATATCACCTCTCCAGTCCCATATCTCCACACCCAGGCCCATATCTCCTTCCTAGGCCCATATCTCCACTCCAGGCCCAGATATCCACCTCTAGGCCCATAACTCCACTCCTGGCCCATATCTCCACTCCAGGCCCATATCTCTACTGCAGGCCCGTATCTCCACCTCCAGACCCATATCTCCACTCCAGGCCCATATCTCCACCTCCAGGCCCATATCTCCACCTCCAGGCCCATATCTCCACTCCAGGCCCATATCTCCACTCCAGGCCCATATCTCCACTCCAGGCCCCTATCTCTACTGCAGGCCCATATCTCCATCTCCAGGCCCATATCTCCATCTCCAGGCCCATGTCTCCACTACAAGCCCATATCTCTACTGCAGGCCCATATCTCAACCTCCAGGCCCATATCTCCACTCCAGGCCCAGATCTCCACTCCAGGCCCAGATCTCCACTTCTAGGCCCATCACTCCATCTCTAGGCCCATAACTCCACTTCCAGGCCTATATCTCCAACTCTGGGCCCCGATCTCCATCCCCGCACTCCCTCCCTCGATGCCCTTCCAGGACTCACCAACACACACCATGCTGACGACCATGAGCGACATGGTGCTGTCTGTGCAGACAGGCGGCCGCGCCCCAGCTCAGCTCAGCAGCGCACAGGATGTTATTTGGCGCCCTGCCCATGCAGTTTACATGTTGACCACATCATGGGAGGGTGACGTACGCAGGCTCTTTCTACCTTGCATGAGGCCCAGTGGGTGCTCGCTCAAGAGCGGAACATGGCTTCCTGGAAATTGTTCTCACTAGAATTGACACCTTGCGTCCTTCACTACGACCAGACTCAAAAGACGTCTCAGATCCAACCTCTCATACACGAGATGATTGAATTCTGTGCTTACATTAAAGATTTTTGATGTATTTTTGTTTTTATCTGAGATTCAAACTCTTCTTCATATGTAATGTGCAAAATGTCTAACAGGTATTATTAACATTATCAGAGTAATTGTGACAAGAAGCCATTCTAATTTTCCTGCTTGAGTTTCTACTACTAAACCAGAGGCATCAGAATAGCTTGAACCTGGGAGACGGAGGTTGCAGTGAGCTGAGCTCAAGCCACTGAACTCCAGCTTGGGTGACAGAGGAAGAGTCTGTCTCAAGAAAAAAAAAAAAAGCAAACTAAATAACCTATAATAACAAATCAGAGGACTCAGGTTACCAAATTTTAAGGGGTTCTATAAGTTTATATAAAATGCAGCATCCTCATGAGAGGGGATACAGAGAACCACTGGACAGAAAACTGTGTCTAAAATACATCTGTGGATACACAGTCCCTTTATAGTTGACAAAGGCTGCCATGTAGTTTAAGGTGGAATAGAATATTTTCTCAACAAATAACACAGGACCATAGGGTTACACGTAGGAAAAAATAAATCTAAACTTATCCTCACACTATAAAAACACTTCTTATTTTTTATCTTGTTGTTGTAAATTTTTTATGCTTTATTTTTAAGATTGACAAATAAAAATTATATACCATGGTCCTTCACTATACCTGGGTGATTGGTTCCAGGATCCCCATTCAGATACCAAAATCTGCAGATGCTCAAGCCCCTTGCATGAAATGGCATAGTGAAGCTGGGCACCGTGGCTCACGCCTGTAATCCCAGCACTTTGGGAGGCTGAGCTGGGTAGATCACAAGGTCAGGAGTTCAAGACCAGCTGGTCCAACATTCTGAAACCCCATCTCTACTAAAAATATACACACAAAAAAATTTATCTGTGCATGGTGGCACGTGCCTGTAATCCTAGGGGAGGCTACTGGGGAGGCTGAGGGAAGAGAATCGCTTGAACCTGGAAGGCGGAGGTTGCAGTGAGTTGAGATCACGCCACTGCACTCCAGCCTGGGTGAGAGAGTGAGACTGTCTCAAAAAAAAAAAAAAAATAGCATAGCAATTGCATAGAACCCATGCACATCCTCCTGTATACATGAAATCATCTCTTGATTACTTATAATTCCTGACACAGCCTACACGCCACTCAATTTGTGTCGATTCAACATAGTTTTTTGCTTTTTGAAACTTCGGGGATTTTTTTTCTCAAAATATTTTTGATTTATTGCTGATTCAATAAACATGTGTAAACCCCAGAGATATGGAGGAGTGACTGTCTATTTATAGTAGTATGAAAGATGATGTGTTGATACGTGTCCCTGTGGAGATGAGACTAACAAGGCCTATGACTCTACAAATGTTTCATCGTGGAATGACTCTGCCAGCTTTCCAGATCTGCAGAGAGTAAGAATATCACTTGTTCATCTGATTCACCATCCTTGGAACCTCCTATGTGCTGCATCTTTGGATGGAAATTGGAGTCTCAGAGACAATTCAGGCTCCACCATGCTTCCAGAAGCTCAGAGTCCAGGGCTGAGAACCCAGCGGAGAACAGATGGGGTTATGTGGACGTGGTAATGATAACACCGGAAGCCTTAGGCAAGAAAAGAGTCCCATTGAAGAAACCATGAGGGCAGACATGTTTACTTGAAGAATAGAAAACTACATTGAAATTATAAAAAAAATTTATAAGTTTTACTGCTGACAGAAGGCTGAAAGATACTCTGAGGAAAGGTGGAATAGCACGTATCTAAGTGCCGTGTTAAGAGGGAGCCTCTTATATGTTTGGAATTGTGAGTTCCTCAGTGTGATCGCAGCCTCAAGTAGACTAGGAAGTAAGCCAGTTAGGTTGGAGAGGTGGGCAGGGGTCAAGTGAAATGGAGAATTGTGGGCTAAGCAAGTGTGTTTTCTCTCCAGCAGGCAGTGGGGACCTTAGACATTTGTAAGCAAGAGAGAGGCATGTTCAGATTCGTGGTGTGAGGAAGAGCGATGCCCTAAGATGCAGACTCACGCCTTCAGAGTCCAGCTGCTGGTACATGGGAGCTGGCAACCCGGTTTTGAGACAGGGCTATTGTCTCCCTAGAAGATCCCATCAAGGCCTGACTGTGGTGCTAGTGGACAGAAGACAACTTTGGATCTGCGCTCAGCATTTGGAAGTTCCGTGTTACACGCTGGTATCTGTTGGGGGTGTCTTGGGCCTCTGAGAAGGGCGAGTGATTTTTCTCTGTGTGAAAACGCAGTGATTCAACTGTGCGTATGTCACCTCCTGAGGGTCTTGTTCATCAGAGTCCTGGAGGGAGGGAAATGCTGAGTGAGGGAGGGTGCTCACATTTTCCAGGACTCTTTGGGAATAAGACTAGCCACGAGGCTGGGCGGAGGAGCACCTACCTCCCTGTTCACTGTTCTGTTCCCTGCAGGCTCTTGGTCCATTACAACAGCATCTGTAGAAGACGGAAGTCGTCAAAACAGCTCGGAGGGCACTTCTGGGTCCTCATTTCATAAGCAGATACCAACATACAGGGGGAGGCCATAGGTGCCTGAGGTCCCTCAGTTGCCAACAGCAGACTCAGACATTCTATCTCTCTGAGCTCAAGGATCCATCCCATGTATAGCTCTGAGTTCCCATCCTATTGATTCTGTGTCCCACTTTCTGCCTGTCATGGAACCTTCTCCTGGATGTGAGTGGCTGCAGGGGATGTGAGGATACGGTTCAGAATCAGGCAATGGTCTGTGAGCTGAAGGCAGAGGCAGGGAGTCTGGTGCTCTCTCTAGAAAGTCCTGCCTCTGTGGCTCCTGCCTTGGGCCAGGGACCATCCAGTCTGTGAGGAACACACACCTGAGTGCTCCCATCCTGCTTCCCCACATGGCCCTGAGCTCTCTGGCTTCTGCTTCGTGAGACTTACTCTTTTTGTTGGCACACCAGCGATGAAGGAGAAAGAAGAGGAGGATAGCAAAGGGGATGATGACCACTGAGGTCCCAATCAGAACGTGCAGGTTTCTGGAGTTACCTGGAGGAAGACAAGACACCAATAAGAAGCTAATCATAGCAGTTCCTCTATATGAATTGTCTCACATTTCTTGATTGACAGGTAACCACATACAACGTCTCTTTAGGACAAGCACCCAGATGGCGGGAGACCTAGCTTCCTCCTGCTTTCTCAGTTGTAGTAACCATAGAACGTGCTGAGGATACAACTGCTTTAGTTTAGATGTTTGACCCCTTCAAACCTCACATTGAAATGTAACCCCCAGAGTGGGAGGTTGGGCCTCTTGGGAGTTGTTTGGGTCATGGAGGTGGATCCATCATGAACAGATCAATGCTGTTCCAAGGAGACGGGGTTAGCAAGTTCCCCCTCTATTAGTTCCTGGAGAACTGGTTGTTAAAAGAGCTTGGAAGCTCCATCGCTCCCCCTCCCCCTTGGTCCCTCTCTTGCCGTGTGATCTCTGTGGTCTCTGCACAGACAGACCCTCCTTCCCTTCTGCCAGAGTGGGAGCAGCCTGAGGCCGTCACAAGAAATAGATGCTGGTGCCATGCTTCCAGTACAGCCTGCAGAACTGTGAGGCAAACACATTTCTTGTCTTTAGAAGTTACCCAGGCTCAAGTGTTCCTTTAGAGCAACAAAAATGGACTAAGACAGCAACGTCCTGAGATCAGGAGGAACATCCCAGAACAGCCTGGGCTGTCTTCCTGTTCTTCCTGGAGGAGGACGTCATGCAGTGCTTTAGCTGAGTGCTTCCTGTGGCTCCAGGGTACAAAACCCAGGCTGGGCTGCTTTTTGATTTCCCCCAGATACACTGCATATGGGGTGACTCCACATGTCTCGAGCAGCTTTTCTGAGCCTTGAGGGACTGGCTCACATTGAAATGTAGGTTTCTGTTGTCACTCGCTGCTTATCTGTTAGTAATGAACCTGCCTGTGTAATGTGTTCTCTGTGTGTTCTGTCTCCCTGGAGTGACGGTGAGTGATAGGAATTGGTATAGGCCCAGGTGCATTCCAGGAGGTGTTTAGAATCTTCTCTGGGAAGACTGGATTGGGATTGATACACAGCGAATGTGCTTTACAGTTTCTACCACCACAACCCTCTTGACTCAAAAAAATTACATTCTCCAAGAAAAGAAAGAAAAAATGAAATCAAGATAAAAAAAGTGAAGTAGAACTGACTTAAATCAAACAGCCATGAAATAATGATGTAGCCCAGGAACAACATGCTACTTTTTGTGATCTGCTGAGACATATATTAGGCTGCTATTCCACCCGAGAAGCACGGGGAAGGACCGCCCTCTCCGTCGTTTATTGTTTCAATACAGCCTGTCCTTCTGTGAGTTAGTACGAAATGTGACCAGGGGCTAGTGCTGGCACTGGTCTCTGAGTCCAAGATCTGAGCTCACTCCAAAGAGTATTAGTGTTTACCTCCCCATGATCTATCTGTATCTCCATAGGTGATTGGAAGTAGAGATGAATTGGGGGATTTGGGTGAAGGGGCAAGTTTTATGCCATGAACAGAGCACGTTCTCTATTCCAGGACCTGTGCTGGTGGGTTCAGGAGGCTTTCACATTTTCCATATGATCCCAAGCTCACAGAAAGCCAAATAAGGAAGAGGTTTAACCTGATTGTTTAATGGATAAGATAAAGGGTCAAAGAATTAAACACAGAGAAATAGAAAAATGATGGTTGGTATCCAGTTGCCTTTGTAATTTCTGTGTGTCATAATTATGTATGTTTTATTTTTATTTTTTGAGACAGAGTCCCCCTGTGTCAGGCTGGAGTGCAGTGATGCGATCTCAGTTCAACCTCTGCCTCCAGGGTTGAAGCCATTCTTCTGCTTCAGCCTCCCCAGTCGCTGGGATTACAGGCAGGTGCCAATGCACCAGGCTAATTTTTGTATTTTTAGTACAGACGGGGTTTCACCATGTTGGCCAGGCTGGTCTCAAACTCCTACCCTTAAGTGATCTACCCGCCTTGGCCTCCCAAAGTGTTGGGTTACAGGTGTGAGCCCCCATCCACAGTCTTGTATATTATATTATACTAGGTCCCTTCATTTGCACCACCCCTCATGTGTCTATCGCTCCTCTGCCAGGTATGGATTTAGATGTAGAAAAAAAACACATCTCAGAAAGAAATTAATGAAACAAGGATTAAACTACTAGGAAAAATCAAACCCAGCAAGCCCTCCCTGCAAATGATTCTACCTCACAAGCATAGCTTATATCCATCTTTCATTCATTTAGTGTGTAAATCAACCCTACGTTTCACCAGTGGGGCGGGAATTGCCTTTTCCACGGTCTCCTAGATTCCAGTTACGCACCTGGGCCTCCCTTATTTTCATGTCGGTCACTGTTAATCAGGTAGGGATTCCTAGTTAGCTCTGAGTTGAATCCAAGGGCTGTGAGTATCAAAAACATGCTCCTTGTTCCTCCTTAGTTTCCTGTGTACCCAGTGTGCTCTCCATCTCTCTACAGTTGTCTTGTCATTCTCCCCATCTCATTCCCAGCATTTGAGGCAGAGCCTCTTCCTTGAACTAAGAATGTTTCCACCTTTGTGCCTTCACGGCTGAGAGCTCAGTGTGGAAAATCCTTCCGCCAATCTTCCAAGGGTTGAATCCATTTTTTCCATTAAGGTCACAAATATTATCTGATCAGTGAGACCTTCTCTGTCACCTGAAATTATATACTCAGCATTATCTATTACTTATTTTAAATCCTGGCTGGGCGCAGTAGCTCTCGCCTGTAATCTTTGCACTTAGGGACGCTAAGGCGGTGGGATCACTTGAGATTGGGAGTTTGAGACAGCCTGCACAACATGGTGAAACCTCATTTCTACTAAAAAATATACCAAAAAAATTAGCCGAGTGTGGTGGCGCACAGCTGTAATCCCAGCTACTCGGTAGGCTGAGGCAGGAGAATTGCATGAACCCAGGAGGCAGAGGTTGCAATGAGCTGAGATTGTGCTACTGCACTCCAGCCTGTGGAACAGAGAGAGACTCTACTCAAAAAAAAAAAAGAAAACAAAAAAAACACACACACACAAAAAACCCCAGATTTGGTGCACAGATGCTTCCCAATGGATCATTCATTTATTGGTACCCTTGTGCATTCATTCTCTGCCCTCGCATTTACCCATCTGCAATATCAGCGTCCCAAGAGCAGAGGCCAAATGCATCCTGTTTACCATTTGTGGAAGGCAGGAGAATGCTGCCCCACCCCCAAAATGTCCCTGTCTTAGCCTCCATAGCTTGTGAATATGTTATTTTACAGGAAAGGAGGAATGAAGATTGCAGATGGCATTACGGTTGCTAATCAGCTGAACTTAAAAAGAGGGTACGCTGGATGATTTTAGGGAGATTGAGATGGATTATCTTGGTGACCCCAATAGAATCCCAAAGTCCTTAAAAGATGAGGAAGAAGGCAGAGCAGGATTCAGAGAAAAAGGTATGGGTAAAGAAGAAGAGTCTGAATGATGCCATGTGAGACGTGACCAGCCTTTGTGGGCTTTGAGGAAGGAGGAAGGAGGAAGGGGACCAGGGGCCCAGGAACGTGGGAGCCTCTAGGAGCTGGGAAACGTTAAGGAGCAGATTCTTGCTTGGAACCTTAAAAAGAAATCCAGCCTTACTCTCCCTTTGATATCAGCCCAGTGAAATGCAGTTCATACTTCTGAGTTACAGCACTGTGAGATAATTAAGAAAAACATGTTTTCATCCACGAAGCTTGTGGAAATTTGTTATGGCAACAATAGGAAAAGATTCCACACTGCACAGCCAGAGCATGGGGCATTGGCTGAACGAGTGAGTGAGTGGAAGTGTCGTGTGCATAAATAAGCTAAATTCTCTCTTACTGCACGTCTCTTGCTCTGCTGAGTCAACCAGGGTTGCATCTGGTACACTGCTGATACGAATGTAAATTAGTACAGCCATTACAGAGGAGAAGAGTATGGAAGTTCCTCAAAAAATAAAATGAGGTCGGGCACAGTGGTTCATGCCTGTAATCCCAGCACATTGGGAGGCCGAGGTGGGTAGGTCACTTGAGGTCAGGAGTTGAAGAGCAGCCTGGCCAATATAGCGAAACTCTGTCTCTACTAAAAATATAAAAATTAGCCGAGTGTGGTGGTGGGAGCCAGTAACCCAGCTACTTGGGAGGCTGAGGCTGGGGAATCTCTTGAATCCTGGAGGTGGAGGTTGCAGTGAGCCCAGATGGCACCACTGCACTCCAGCCTGGGCAACAAGAGTGAAACTGTCTAAAAAAAACAAAAACAAAAACAAAAACCATAAAACAAAATGTAAAAAGACACTTCCAGAGGATCTAGCAATTCCATGACTGGGTGTAAACCCAAAGGAAAGGACATCAGCGTATCGAAGTGACATCTGCACTCCCATGACTGTTCCAGCAGTGTTCACAGTAGCCAAGATGTGGATCAACCTACCCGCCCATCAGTGGGTGAATGGATGGAGAGAATGTGGTACACACACACAATAGGGACAACTCATCCATAGAAAGAGTAACATCCTGTCATTTACAGCCACATGAATGGAACTGGAGGTCATTACAAGTATTTCCATTTCTCACTCATATGCAGGAGCTAAAAGGTGGATCTCACAAAGGTAGAGAGTAGAATGGTGGCTACCAGAGGCCAGGAAGGGAAGGGTGGAGGGTAAAAAAAAAAGAATACTAATTAATTAATTAATTAATTTTGAGAGAGTGTCTCTCTCTGTTGCCCAGGCTGCAGTGCAGTGGCATGATCTCAGCTCACTGCAACCTCCGCCTCCTGCAATTAAGTGCAACTCCTGCCCAACCCTCCCAAGTAGCTGGGACTACAGGCATGTGCCACCATGCTCGGCTAATTATTATCATTATTATTATTATTTTGTATTTTTAGTACAGATGGATTTTCCCCATGTTGGCCAGGGTGGTCTTGAGCCCCTGATCTCAAATGATCCACCTGCCTTGGCCTCTCAAAGTGTTGGGATTACAACCGTGAGCCACCGTGCCCAGCCTATAAATGTATTTATGAACAGTAGACTTCACACTTAAAAATGGTAAAGGTGGTAAATTACATAGGTATATTTCACCTCAATAAATATTTCTTCAAACAAAAAGAAAAGGGTGTAGGCGTTGCTGGTGATGACATCTCTCTGTGGGTGACAGGCCAGGATGGGCTTCTGGGAAGTGGGTAAGGTTGAGGGGCTGAGAGAACCTCTGATCTCCCCAGGCAGAGCCCAGTCTCCCTCCTCTGGGTCTGTTCTGACCTCTTTCTCCATCTGCCTGGGTGCCTGGAACCCTGATCAAGGGCCTCCTTGCAGGCCATACAGGAGGGTTTGGAGGTGCCCTGTCTGCCATCCTGCGCCCTGACCCCGCCCTTACACCCATGCTGTGTGTTCTGTCTCGGCATCTGTCCATGCTTCTCTCCATCATCAGCAGGAAGCTCCTCAGCTATGGCTCTAGGATCACAAGACATGGGACAGGCATGGTGTTTTCTCACCTGTGACAGAAACGGGCAGTGGGTCACTCGGGTCTGACCACGCGTGGGGCAGGGCACGGAAAGAGCCGAAGCATCTGTAGGTCCCTCCGTGGGTCACAGGGCCCAGAGGGAAGTTGGCCTGGAATGTTCCATTGACCCTCAGCACCGCAGTGAGCCTAAGTTCACCGGCCTCTGCCTCCCTGGATAGATGGTAAATGTCAAACAAGCTCCGGGAGCTGCAGGACAAGGTCACATTCTCTCCTGCCTGAACCGTGGGGCCCGGCTGGGCTGAGAGAGAAGGTTTCCCATATAGACCTGGAAGAAGAAGAGGTGGTTTCCTCAGGGAGGTTCTTCCTTGTCACAGCTCTCCTCACACCTGAGCTGAGAACTCACTCCCCTGCTCTATGACTTAATGCTCTCTTTCTCTCTCTCACCCTCCACCCCCATCTCTCTTCATGTCTATTTCCTCCTTCCACCTTCTCTGTCTCTCTAGGTCTCTGACCTCACTTCTCCATCCCTAGCTATGTTTTCTTTTTTTGTACCATTTTATTCTCTCTGACCCTCCTTGGACTGGTTGACTTGATCTTCCTCTTTCTTTAATTCTGAGTCTCTCACTTTCTGTCTTGCTCATAACTTTCTGCATATTTCTATCTACTATCTATTGATCGATCTATCATTTATCTATGTATGTATCTATCATCTATCATCATCTGTGTATCTATGACCTATCTCTCTGTTATCTATCATCTATCAATCAATGTATGTATGTATGCATCTATCCATCTATCATCATGTGTTTATCTGTCTTTCTATCTCTCTATATCTATTTATATATCATCTGTCTGTCTTTCTACTTGTCTATCTATATCATCTATCAGTCATTCATCATCTATTTGTCTATCACCTGTCTCTCTATTATCTATCATATACCTTTTATCTTTCATCTATCTATATCTATCTATCCATCTATCATCTGTCTCTCTCCATCTCCTTGTCTTTCTCTGCCTCTCAGTCTCTCTAGTTCCCTTTTGGAGTCTCTGCAATCCATCCCCACATCTTTATCTTTCCCTGTCTTTGTGCCCCTCCCTCAGGGCTCTGATTTTAGGGCTTTTCTCTGCTTCCTTCCATCATACGCTCCACTTCTCTGCCCTCTTTTTCTGTCTCTTTATGTGTCTGTGAGTCTCTCAATTCCCTTCTTCTGGCTCATTCTGTGTGTGTGTTCATGTCTTTGCTTTTTGATTTCCCTGATTTCACTCCGTGTCTCTCTGTGGGCTTTTGTTCTCAGTAATCCTATAACATGTGGTGCTATTTGAATATGAGCCTCAGAATCCAGTATGGGGACTCCAGGAACTCACAACATACAGGGGTTGGTGTTCTGCTCCCTCACCTGGGGCCATGGTGTCCTGGGACGATGACAGCTCCACTGCACGGAAGGCAGAGGTTTAAGAATAAACACAGCATCTGTAGGTGCCACCAGCCTGGGGCCACACGGCCCAACTCAGGCCAGATAGATGTGTCTCTTTGGGTTCTCCTGGGAGAGAACACTTTGTAGAGGTAAAACAGAATGGAACCTTCTAACCTGTGCCTGGTCTCTGAACAAAGTCAGCATAGAAGGACACCTCTCTCTGGGATATATCTGTCTCTCTGTGTCTTCTTTACCTCTTTATCTCTTTTTCTAACACCTTGTATGGCCCCTGTGTCTGGCTTCTATGTTATGACATGAGGTCTGTACTTGTGTCTCCTGTTTCTCTGCCTTTGTTGGTACAGACCTCACCAAGTCACTTTCTCTCCATAGGAACCCCACACTCATCTTCCTCATGACCACCTGGGGCTTCCAGTCCTAGATCATTCACTCCATCTCCCAGCAAGGGTGAGAGGCAGGTCTGTATTCTCTCACCTACGACCACGATGTCCAGAGGGTCACTGGGAGCTGACAACTCATAGGGTAAGTGAGTGACAGAACCAAAGCATCTGTAGGTCCCTGCAAGGGCAGGTGTCATGGGACCCATGGAATAGTTGACCTGGGAACCCGCATCGTGGAGCTGTCCAACGAGGCGCAAGGGGTCCTCAGTGATCCCCTCTCTGTGCAGAAGGAAGCGCTCAAAACTGACATCTGACCAACATTGCAGGATGACCGTCTCTCCCGATTTCACCAGGGGACCTGGGTGGGCCAGGAGGGAAGGTTTTCTGTGGACTCCTAAGAAGAGAGGTTGTGAGTTCAGAAGGCGTCTCCCTTTCTCATCCCATTCATGGGACCTGAAATAAGTGAGGCTTCCCCTCCATGGTGTCTATCTCTCTCCTTCCTCTCTGTGTCTCCGTGTTCTTTTGTGCCCATAACCCCTGTTGCAGGTCCCTCCATCTGTCTCCCTCCCTCTTCCCTGTCTCTCTGTCTCTAGTAGCCCTGATTCCCTTCCCACTGTGCTCAGTGTCACCTCTTAGGCTGTTGTATCTGTTTCCCACTAATCTCTTTCCTGTGTTTATGTAGGGGTGGAAGAGGAACCACGACAGGCTGCATGTCCAGGCTCTTAGCAGCCTGAATCAATCTCTTTTGGACAGATTGGAAAGGCTGGCAGGAGGTACGAACTCATCAGTAAGGCAGGCATCAGTGTCCCTGTTCCTGATGGGGATTGGGAGCCTCTCCTGTCATGTCTGTGCCTTCTCCATGGCCCCAGCTTCCATAGGGTGGCCCCTGGTGCTGGTTCCAGGAGCATCAACCCCTCCCTATGTGGATCGAGCCTGGTGGTAGCATCAGTATCCCACCCATGCTAAAATCAGTGTAGCCAACCTTCTCCTTGTTTGGTTTCTTAACTTGTGCTTCACCTGGGTTCCTGTGTTGGTTTCCTGTTGCTGCTGGAGAAAATTGTCACAAACATGGGGCAGGAGAGAATACAATGACCCCTTCCACTTCTGGAGAACAGAAATCGGACCCAGTTCTCTCTGGGCTAAAATCAAGGCATCTACAGGGCTGTGTTTCCTCTGGAGACTCAGGGAAGAATCAGTTCCCTTGACTTCTCCAGCCCTTAGAGGCCAACTGCCTTTGTGGCTCATGGCCTTCCCCCATCTTCAAAGCCCGCTGTGGCTGATGGAGTCTCCCTCCCACGACGTTGCTCTAACCCCACTTTCCTCTTCCTCCTCCTCTCATGAGGACCCTTGTGATTACTCTGAGCACAGCAGGACAGTCCAGGCTGTCTCCCCATCGCAAGGTCAACTCATCAACAACCTGAGCTCCATCTTCCCCTTCAGTCCCCTGCCCTATGACATAAATAGTCACAGGGTTCATGGATTACCATGTAGCCATCACTGGGGACAATTATTCTTCCCACCACAGCAACTATTTCTCTGTACTGAATCCCCCTTTACCCCAAATACAGCCAGGGCCTGGATGATTGGACCCTGATGGACACCCCCACCAGAAGCTCTGGGATTCAGGAGGTGGGACAGTGAGAAGCCCAGACAGAAAGCCTCTGACCTGTGACCATGATCACCACAGGGTTGCTGGGTGCCGACCACCCAGTGGGGGAGTGTGGGTGTGAACTGCAACATCTGTAGGTCCCTGCATGTGCTGGGGTCACAGGGCCCATGAGAAAGCTGTTCCGGAATATTCTGTTGTAGAGCTCAGGGACAGGCATCCCGTCTTCTTTGGACAGACTGAATTCTTTAAACCCAAGACGAGAGCGACACTGAAGAGTCACATGTTGTCCTTCAGACACCACAGTGCCGGGCCAGGCAGAGAGGAAGGGCTTGTCCTGACCACCTGGGGGAGAAGGAGGCACTACCTTAGAGAGGAGGATGTGGAGCCGCCCCTCCCTCCCTGTGCTCAGAAGATTCTCCCATTTCCACGTTTCTAAGGCTCCTACCACACCTGGGTGCCCAGGGCTACAGGAAGGACCCATCCCGCATAGACATGGCGTCTCCCTACAGCAAGTGTCAGCTGAGAACTTTGAGCAGGTGCTGAAGAAGCGACTCTTACTAGATTTTAACACTGCAAAATTACTTACATAAAAGAACACAAGGTAGACACAGGATGGAGGGCATGATCAGCTAATGCATGAACCATAATAAACAACTGAGCCCCTATTAGAAGATCTGGAATGTCAGGGTCATGACTGTGGTTCCCCCACCTCTTAGGTAGAATGACAGCAGCCACATTGCAGCCCCTACCGTCATGGAAACGCTGGAGGGTGTGAGTTATGCTCTTGTCCTCAGAGGCCTGTTGTTCCTTGCACTGCTTCTCTCCCTTCCTCTGCCGGTGACACCACTTCCTCCCTGCACACCACTCCTTTGAGCACTTCAGTCTCCCCCTGGGTCCCCACAGACTCAGCCAAGGGAAAGAAAGGCCGGGGAGGGCTAGGACAGAACTGTGGCGAAGCTTCCCCTGGCTTCCTTTTCCTAGTTCATGAGAGATTCCCACATGGCTTCCCATGGTCAGCCCATCAGTCAACCCCCTGTGTCGCCTGCCTCCCGTTTCAGGAACATCATCTTATGTGGGGAGATGACAACCTAAGGTTTGGGGGAAGGACTCACCCACATGTGGCCAGGGCCCCTCCAGCAAGAAGAACCCTGGAAAGAAAGATCATGATGGATGATCCATCTGTACATCACCTCCAGGCCCATATCTCCACTCCAGGCCCATATCTCCACCTCCGTCCTATATCTCTACTCCAGGCCCATATCTCCACTCCAGGCCTATATCTCCACCTCTGTCCTATATCTCTACTCCAGGCCCATATCTACACTCCAGGCCCATATCTCCACCTCCAGGCCTGTATCTCCACCTCCAGGCCCGTGTCTCCATTCCAGGCCCATATCTGCACTCCAAGCCAACATCTCCACTCCAGGCCCATATCTCTACTCCAGGCCCATATCTACAGTTCCAGGCCCATATCTCCACCTCCAGGCCCATATCTCCACTCTAGGCCCATATCTCCACCTCCAGGCCCGTATCTCAATTCCAGGTCCATATCTGCACTCCAAGCCAATATCTCCACTCCAGGCCCATATCTACAGTTCCAGGCCCATATCTCTACTCCAGGCCCATATCTCTACTTCAGGCCCATATCTACAGTTCCAGGCCCATATCTCCACTCCAGGCCCATATCTCCACCCCAGGCCCATATCTCCACTCCAGGCCTATATCTCCACTCCAGGCCCATATCTCCACTCCAGGCCCATATCTCCACTCCAGGCCCAGATCTCCACCCCACCGCTCCCTCCCTCGATTCCCTTCCAGGACTCACCAACACACGCCATGCTGACGACCATGAGCGACATGGTGCTGCCGGTGCAGACAGGCGGCTGCGCCCCAGCTCAGTTCAGCAGCACACAGGATGTTGTGAGGGGCTCATGCAGTTTACATGCTGACCACATCATGGGAGGATGACGTATGCAGGCTATTTCTACCTTGCATGAGGCCCAGTGGCTGTTTGGTCAAGAGCAGAACATGGCTTCCTGGAAATTGTTCCAACTAGAATTGACACCTTGCATCCTTCACTATAACCAACTCAAAACACGTCTCAGATCCAATCTCTCATACAGGAGATGACTGAATGCTTGGCTTACATTAAAGACTTTTGATGTATTTTTGTTGTTTTTATCTGAGATTCAAACTCTTCTTCATGTGCTATTTTCCCCAGGCTGTTCTTTGACTTCAGAGTTCAAGCAATCCTCCTGCCCCAGCATTTCTAGCAGCTGGCAGTATGTCACAATCTGCCACACCCAAGTCACAACTTTTAGAACTTTTTTTTTTTTTGAGACGCAATCTCACTTCGTCACCCAGTTTGGAATGCAGTGGTGAGACCTCGGCTCATTGCAGCCTCCACCTCCCAGGTTCACGCAATTCTCGTGCCTCAGCCTCCTAAGTAGCTGGATTTACAGGCACCCACCACCACGCCCACCTAATTTTTGTACTTTTAGTAGAGAGGAGGTTTCTCCATGTTGGCCAGGCTGGTCTTGAACTCCTAACCTCAAGTGATCTGTCTACTTCAGCCTCCCAAAGTGCTGAGATTACAGGTGTGAGCCACCATGCCTGGCCGGGACATTCTATATGTGTGCGTATGTGTGCATTTATATACATATGGTTATACACACACACACACACACACACACACACCCTAAGCACTCACATATATAGTTGTTTCAAATTTTAAAAAATATAAATTTTGTATTTTTCTTTCTTTTTCTCACATTTGTGTTTCTATGACACCATATACATATTGAATTTTATAGCTCTATTTTATTCTTTTGGATTGCAGTTTAATAGTCCATGCATAACTTTATCAACATGTAATTATCCATTCTTTTTATCATGGACATTTGTGTTGTTTCCGGATTTTCTCTTTTATAACTCGGGCCTTGATAATCGTGTTTCTGTGTGATCCCTTGCATACATATGCTGAATTAATTAGACATATTTACCTAGAAATGAAATTATTGGTTTTGGGTGCAAGTTGGTGTTGAGCTTAACCAGGAAGTGCCAAAATATTTCCATCATGACCAAATGTGGCCTGGAAAGTTTTTTGGGGTCAATTTTCCTGTTTCTTCTAAGGAACAAAATTGATGTCACTGATTTTTCTGTCCTGTTTGTCATTTATGAATGTATGTACATATGCACGTATATATTTGCTTGCCATTTTATGTTTTTCCTCGACGTTACTTTGGAATTAATTTGCTGATGTGTAGTATTTCTGCAAGTGAAAGTTACCTATTTACTCAGCTCTTCCTTCTTTTCTAACACAGACATTTGAGGCTTATTGTCCCTTAACGCTGTACTATCTGTATCCCCAGTCATTTGCCGAGATGTGTTTTCATTTTTAATTGATACAAAATATTTTCCACCTTTCTTTGAAATGTTTTTCTTCCACTCATTGTTTATTGCTATGTGTGTTTATTAATTTTAAAATATTTGATAATTTCCCCAGCATTTCCTTGTTGTACATTTATAATTTAATTCAACTGTTTCATCTATCATATTACCTATGATTCAGCATTTAAAAATTTATTTTGGTGAATGTTCCAGGGGTGCTAGACAAGTTTGTGGATTAGGAAGATTTGAGGTGGATGTTTTCTAAATGTCAGTTAAGAAAAAAATCATTCAAATGTTTTTCTTTATTTAAAAAAAATAGAGACGGGGTCTCACTATGGTGCCCAGGCTGGTCTCAAACTCCTGGCCTCAAGTGATCCTCCCATTTTGGCCTCCCAAAGTGCTAGGATTATTGAAATTATTAAATGTTTCATATCAACACCCAACCTTATGCACCCGCCGCCTACACAAATGTTTTTCAAGTCTTTCATATGCTTAATAATTTTCTGTGTACTTGTTCTGGAAGTGAGGTGAATGTTGCTATCTCTAGCTGCAATTTGGATGTGATTGATTATGTTTTGAATTATGCCTTTAATTTAATGTGTTTTGAGGTTCCAGCTTTAGGTGTGTAGGCATTTAGGATGATTATGTCTTATTTATGAATTTGCCTCTTTGTCATTATGAAGTACTCCTCTTCATATCTCCATATATCTCTTCTTTGTATGTGCATGGTGAAATATTTCATTCTTTGAGTTAAGAAACTTCTATTGAGGAATACTTTTTATTACAAACATTTACCTATTCTATGTATACAACTGACTAGAAGCATATTTTGCACTGGGCATTATCATGACAAGGTAATGTCATTCTTTCAATATTTACATCTTGTGGATTAGTATTTGAAGTGCAGCTTATGTAGACAGCATAAGGTTGGGTGTTGATATGAAACATTTAATAATTGCACACGTATTTGCCTCTTGGGATACTTCCACTTTTTTGAATTTCAAGTTACTAAATGGTATCATTAATCTTTGCTTCAAGAGCTTAACATTTATTGTAGAACAATGCTTCATGTAATAAATTGTGAGACATTTTTAATGGCACCTTTATTGCAGGAAAATGTTTTCCTTTTCAGGTTGAAAGATTCTAGTTTGAAATATTTTCTTGTAGCACTTTAAAAATGTTGGTCCACCTGTTTCTTACTTTCATAGTTTTGAATACAAAGTTTGCTGTCATTCTTGTATTTCTTCTTCTGTTTTTTATTTATTTATTTTTGACAGAATATCTTGCCGTCTCACCCAGGCTGGAGTGCAGTGGCATGATCTTGGCTCACTGCAACCTCTGCCTTCCATGTTTCAGCAATTCCTGCCTCAGCCTCCTGAGTAGCTGGGACTACAGGCATGCGCCACCATACCCAGCCAATTTTTTTTTTTGTATTTTTTTTTTGTAGAGATGAAGTTTTGCCATATTGGCCAGAACTCCTGACCTCAAATGATCCACCTGCTTTGGCCTCCCAAAGTGCTGGGATTACAGGTGTGAGCCACTGTGCTCAGGCTATTTATTCCTTTTTATATAATATGAATTCACATTCATACATACCAGGGGTTAGGATTTCAACAAACGTTTCTGGGGGAGACCACTCAAAACACAGCACTCATCCTTGGTTATTTCCAGCCATGGAGCCTGTATCAATATCCTGGTGAATTATCTAAGCTGTCCACCTACCTACCCCAAATCCTCATGGTCACATAAAAGGCTAGTATAGTATAATAATTTTTCTTTCCCTGCTTATCTACAGTGATGAAGAAACGAATATTCAAAGGGAAAAATCTTAGCTTTAGGTATAGGGTAATTCTTCTTCCTATTTTTAAATAACTTCAACCTTTACTGTAGATTAAAGGTATGCATGCAGGTTTGTTACATAGGCATATTGTGTGACTCTGAGGTTTGTGGTTCCAACAATGCCATCACCCAGGCAATGAGCATAGAATCCAACAGGTGTTTCTTCAGCCTATACCTCCCTACTCCTCCCCCCATCTGTAGTCCTCGGTATCTGTTGTTTCCATCTTTATGTTCATGTGTATTCAATGTTTGGTTCTCAGTTATAAGTGATAACATGTGGTATTTGGTTTTCTGTTCCTGGGTTAGTTCACTTAGGAGATTGACCTCCTGCTACATTCATGTTGCTTCAAAGGACATGATTTCATTATTTTTTATGGCCATGTAATGTTCCATGTGTATATGTAGCACATTTTCTTTAACTAATCCACTGTTGGTGAGCACTTAGGTTGACTGCAAATCTTTGCTATTCTGAATTGCACAGCAATGAATATACTAGTGCATGTGTCTTTTTGACATAGTTAATTACCTTCCTTTTGGTATATACCCAGTAGTGGGATTGCTTGATTGAATAGTAGTTCTATTTTAAGTTATTTGAGAAGTCTCCAAACTGCTTATCACATTGGCTGAACTAGTTAACATTCCCACCAAGAGTGTATAAGTGTTCCCTTTTCTCCACAATCTTGTCAGCATCTGTTATTAAAAAAAACAAAAAACTTTTTAGTAATTGCTTCTGCTTCTCTGATTGTTGTGAGATGGTATCTCACTGTGGTTTTAATTTGCATTTCTCTGATGATTACTGATAATAAGCATTTGTTCATATGTTTTTTGGCCATGTGTACATCTTCTTTTGAGAAGTGTCTGTTCATGTCATACTTAATTGAGGTTTTTTGGTTTTCTGCTTGTTGATTTGTTTACATTCCTTATAGATTCTGGATATTAGAACTTTGTCAGATGCATAGTTTGCAAATATTTTCTCCCAGTCTGTAGGTTATCTGTTTACTCTGTTGATACTTTTGTTTGCTGTGCAGAAGCTCTTCAGTTGAGTTAGGTCCCAATTTCTGTCTTTGTCACAATTGGTTTTGGGGAGTTAGCCATAAATTCTTTGCCAAAGTCTATCTTGAGAAGGATATTTCCTAGGTTTTCTTCTAGAATTTTAATATTTTGAGGTTTTACATTTAAATCTTTAAACTATCTTGGGTTAATTTTTGTATATAGTGAGAGTTAGGGGTCCAGTTCTATTATTTTGCATATGAGTAGTCAGTTATCCCAGAACTATTTATTGAAGAAAGGGTACTTTCCACATTGCTTGTTTTTGTCAATTTTTTCAAAGATGATTGTAGGTATGTAGCCTCATTTCTGGGTTCTCTATTCTGTCTCATTGGTCTATGTGTCTGTTTTTGTAGTAGTATCATGCTGTTTGGGTTACTATAGCATTGTAGTATAGTTTGAAGTTGGGTAATGTGATGCCTGGGCTTTGTTCTTTGTGCTTAGGATTCCTATGTGTATTCAGGCTCTTTTTTTGGTGCCAAATACATTTTAGAATAAATTTTTATAATTTCGTGAAAAATGACATTGCATTTTGAAATGGATAGCATTGACTCTGCAATTTGTTTTTGGAAGTATGGCGATTTTAACTATTTGTTCTCCTAATTCATGAGCATGGAATATTCTTCCATTTGTTTGTATCATTTCTTATTTCTTTCAGAAGTGTTTTGTAGTTCTCCTTGTAGAGAATTTTCACCTTCTTGGTTAGATGGATTCCTAGGTATTTTATTTTCTTTGTGGCTAGTGTAAATGGAATTGTGTTCTTGATTTAGTTCTCAGCTAGAATGTTAGTGGTGCATAGAAATGTTACTAATTTGTGTACATTTTTTTAATCCCGAAACTTTATTGAATTTGTTTATCAGTTTCAGGAGCCTTCTGACAGAGTCTTTAGGGTTTTCTATGTATAAAATTATTTCATCAGCAAAGAGAGACAGTATCACTACTTCTTTTCCAATTTTAATGCCTTTTATTTCCTTCTCTTGCCTGATTGCTTTGGCTAGGACTTCCAGTACCATGTTGAATTAAAATGGCGGGAGTGGTCATCCTGGTCTTGTTTCGGTTCTCAAGGGGTATGGTTCCAGCTTTTGCCCATCAATATGATGTTGGCTGTGGGTTTGTCATAGATGGCTCTTAATATTTTGAGGTATGTTCCTTTGATGCCTATTGACAGTTTTTATCATGAAGGGATGTTGGATTTTACAGAAAGCTTTTTTTGCATCTATTGAGATGATCAT